>NC_000010.11:39479371-39497198 GCF_000001405.40 Homo sapiens | reverse complement strand
TTCCACATTAGGCCTCAAAGCACTCCAAATATCCACTTGCAGATTCTACAAAAAGAGTGTTTCCAAACTCCTCAATCAAAAGAGAGGTTCAACTCTATGAGATGAATGCACACATCACAAAGTAGTTTCTCAGAATGCTTCTGTGTAGTTGTTATGTGAAGACATTTTCTTTTTCATTGTAAGCTGCCAAGGGCTCCAAATATCCACTTGCAGATTCTACAAAAAGAAAGATTCAAAACTGCTGTATCAAAAGATAGGTTCATCAGTGTGAAATGAATGCACACATCACAAAGAAGATTCTCAGAACGCTCCTGTGTAGTTTTTATGTGAAGATATTTCCTTTTCCACCATAGCCCTCAAAGTCCTTCAAATGTCCACTTGCAGATTGTACAAAAAGTGTGTTTCAAAACTGTTCAATCAAACGAAATGTTCAACTCTGTGAGATGAATGCACACATCTCAAAAAAGTTCCTCAGAATGTTTCTGTGTAGTTTTTCTGGGAAGATATTTCCTTTCACACCATCAGCCACAAAGGGCTCCAAATAATCACTTGCAGATTCTAAAAAAAGAGAGTTTCAAAACTGCTCAATTAAAAGAGAGGTTCTACACTCTGAGATGAATGCACATGTCACAAACAAGTTTCTCAGAATGCTTCTGTGTAGTTTTTATCTGAATATATTTCCTTTTCCACCATAGGCCTCAAAGCACTCCAAATATCCACTTGCAGATTCTATGAAAAGAGTGTTTCAAAACTGCTCAATCAAAAGAAAGTTTCAACTCTGTGAGATGAATGCACATATCACAAAGAAGTTTCTCAGAATGCTCCTTTGTAGTTTTTATGGGAAGATATCTCCTTTTCCACCATCGGCCACAGAGGGCTCCATATAACCAATTGCCGATCCTATAAAAAGAGAGTTTCAAAACTGCTCTATCAAAAGATAGGTTCATCTCTGCGACCTGAGTGCACACATCACAAAGAAGTTTCCCAGAATGCTTCTGTGTAGTTTTTGTGGGAAGATATTTCCTTTTCCACCATTGGCCACATAACCACTTGCAGATTCTACAAAAATAGAGTTTCAAAACTGCTCTATTGAAAGATAGGTACAACTCTGTGAATTGGGTGCACTCAACACAAGGAAGTTTCTCAGAATGATACCGTGTGGTTTTTATGTAAAGATATTTCCTTTTCCACCATAGCCCTCAAAGCACTGCAAATATCACCTTGCATATTCTACAAAAAGAGTGTTTCAAAACTGCTCAATCAAAAGAAAGTTTCAACTCTGTGAGATCAATGCACACATCACAAAGAAATTTCTCAGAATGCTTCTGTGTATATTTTATGTGAAGATATTTCCTTTTCTACCTTAAGCTGCAAATGATTCCAAATATCCACTTGCAGATTCTACAAAAAGAGTTTCAAAACTGCTCTATTGAAAGATAGGTACAACTGTGTGAGTTGGGTGCACTCAACACAAGGAAGTTTCTCAGAATGATACCATGTGGTTTTTATGTAAAGATATTTCCTTAACCTCCATAGGCCTCAAAGCGCTGCAAATATTGCCTTGCATGTTCTACAAAGAGAGTGTTTCAAAACTGCTCAAACAAAAGAAAGGTTCAACTCTGTGAGATCAATGCACACATCACAAAGAAGTTTCTCAGAATGCTTCTGTGTATATTTTATGTGAAGATATTTCCTTTTCCACCTTAGGCCACAAAGCATTCCAAATATCCACTTGCAGATTCTACAAAAAGAGAGTTTCAATACTATTCTATCAAAAGATTGTTTCAACACTGTAAGTTGAATGCACAGATCACAAAGAAGTTTCTCAGAATGCTTCTGTGTAGTTGTTATGTGAAGATATTTCCTTTTCCACCATAGGCCTCAAAGCGTTCCAAATATCCATTTGCAGATTCTACAAAAAGAGTGTTTCCAAATCTGCTCAATTGAAAGAATGGTTCAAATCTGTAAGATGAATGCACACATCACAGAGAAGTTTCTCAGAATGCTTTCTTGTGCTTTTTATGTGAAGATATTTCCTTTTCTACAATAGGCCTCAAAGCGCTCCAAATATCCACTTACAGATTCTCCAAACAAGTGTTTCAATCTGCTCAATCAAAAGAAAGATTTAAATCTGTGAGATGAATGCACACATCACAAAGAAGTTTCTCAGAGTGTTTCTGTGTAGTTTTTATGGGAAGATATTTCCTTTTCCACCATCGGCCACAAAGGGCTCCAAATAACCACTTGCAGATTCTACAAAAGGGAGTTTCAAAACTGCTTTATCAAAAGATAGGTTCAACTCTGGGAGTTGAAAATACACAGCACAAAGAAGTTTCTCAGAATGTTTCTGTGTATTTTTTATGTGAAGTTATTTCCTTTTACACCATAGGCCTCAAATAGCTCCAAATCTCCACTTGCAGACTTTCAAAAACAGTGTTTCAAAACTGCTCAATCAAATGAAAAGGTCAACTCAGGGAGATGAAGGTAAACATCAGAAAGAAGTTTCTCAGAATGCTTCTGTGTACTTTTCGTGTGAAGATATTTACTTTTCCACTATAGACCTTACAGTGCTCCAAATACCCACTTCCAGATTCTACAAAATGAGGGTTTCCAAACTGCTCAATAAAAAGGGAGGTGCAACTCTGTGACATGAATGCAAATATCATGAAGAAGTTTCTCAGAATGCTTCTTTGTAGTTTTTATGTAAAGATATTTCCTTTTCCACCATAGGCCTCAAAGTTTTCCAAATATGCACTTGCAGATTCTACAAAAAGAGTGTTTCAAAATTGCTGTATCAAAAGAAATGTTCACCCCTGTGAGATGAATGCACACATCACAAATAAGTTTCTCAGAATGCTTCTGTTTAGTTTTTATGTGAAGATATTTGCTTTTCCACCATAGTCCACAAAGGGCTCTAAATATCCAATTGCACATTCTACAAAAAGTGAGTTTCAAAGCTGCTCTATGCAAAGAAAGTTTCACCTTTGTGAGTTGAATGCACCCATCACCAAGAAGTTTCTCAGAATGCTTCTGTGTAGTTTTTATTTGAAGATATTTCCTTTTCCACCATATGCCACAAAAGGCTACAAATATCCACTTGCAGATTCTACAAAAAGAGAGTTTCCACACTGTTCTATCAAGAGATAGGTTCAACTCTGTGAGATGAATGCACACATCACAAAGAAATTTCTCAGAATGATTCTGTGTCATGTTTATGTGAAGATAATTCCTTTTCCATAGTAGGCTTCCAAGGGCTCCAAATATCCACTTGCAGACTCTACTAAAAGAGTGTTTCCAAACTGCTCAATCAAAAGAAAGGTTCAACTCTGTGAGATGAATGCACACAAAACAAAGAAGTTTCTGAGAATGCTTCTGTGTGTTGTTTTTATGTGAAGATATTTCCTTTACCACCATAGGCCTCAAAGCACTCCAAACACCCATTTGCTGATTCTACAAAAAGAGTGTTTCCAAACTACTCAATCAAAAGAGAGGTTCAGCTCTGTGGGATGAATGGACACATCACAAAGAAGTTTCTCAGAATGCTTCTGTGTAGTTTTTATAGGAAGATATTTCCTTTTCCACCAAGGCCACGAACGGCTCCAAGCAATCACTTGCAGACTCCACGAAAAGATAGTTTAAAAACTACTCTATCAAAAGATAGGTTCAATCCTGTGAGATGAACGCACACATCAGAAAGACGTTTCTCAGAATGCTTCTGTGTAGTTTTTATGTATAGACACTTCCTTTTTCACCATAGGATGCAAAGGTCTCCAAGTATCCACTTACAGATGCTACAAAAAGAGGGTTTCAAAACTGCTCAACCAAAAGAAAGTTTCAAATCTGTGAGATGAATGCACACATCACAAAGAAGTTCCTCAGAATGCATGTAGTTTTTATGTGAAGATATTTCCTTTTACCCAATAGGCCTCCACGGGCTCCAAATATCCCCTTGCAGATTCTACTAAAACAATGTTTCCAAAGTTCAAAAGAACTTTTCAAAAAGAAAGGTTGAACTTTCAACTTTCAAAAAGAAAGGTTGAACTCTGTGAGATGAATGCATACATCATAAAGAAGTTTCTCAGAAAGCTTCTGTGTAGTTTTTCTATGAAGATATTTCCTTTTCCACCATAGGCCTCAAATCGCTCCAAATATCCACTTGCAGGTTCTATAAAGAGAGTGTTTCAAAACTGCTCAAGCAAAAGAAAGGTTCAACACTGTGAGTTGAATGCACACATCACAAAGGTGTTTCTCAGAATGCTTCTGTGTAGTTTTCATGTGAAGATATTTCCTTTTCCACCACAGGCCTCAAAGGGCTCCAAATATCCACTTGCAGATTCTACAAAAAGAGTATCAAAACTGCTCTATCAAAAGATAAGTTAATCTCTGTCAGTTGAATGCAGACATCACAGAGAAGTTTCTCAGAATGTTTCTGTGTAGCTTTTATGGGTAGATATTGCCTTTTCCGCTGTCGGCCACAAAGCGCTCCAAATATACACTTGCAGATTCTACAAAAAGAGAGTTTCAAAACTGCTCAATCAAAATAAAGGTTCAAATCTGCGAGTTGTATGCACATATCACAAAGAAGTTTCTCAGAATGCTTCCGTGTAGTTTTTATGTGAAGATATTTCCTTTTCCACAACAGGCCTCAAAGCGGGCCAAATCTCCACTTGCAGATTCTACAAAAACAGTGTTTCAAAACTGCTCAATCAAAAGAAAGGGCCAACTCAGGGAGATGAATGTAAACATCAGAAAGAAGTTTCTCGGAATGCTTCTGTGTATTTTTCGTGTGAAGATATTGTCTTTTCCACCATAGGCCACAAAGGGCTCCAAATATCCACGTACAGATTCTTCAAATAGAGAGTTTCAAAACTGTACTATCAAAAGATAGGTTCAACTCTGCGAGTTGAATGAACACATCACAAAGAAGTTTCTCAGAATGCTTCTGTGTAGTTTTTATGTGAAGATATTCTTTTTTCCACCATAGGCCTCTAAGTGCTCAAAATATCCACTTGCAGATTTTACAAAAAGAGTGTTTCAAAACTGCTCAGTCAAAAGAAAGTTTCAACTCGGTGAGATGAATGCACACGAAACAAAGACATTTCTGAGAATGCTTCTGTGTAGTTTTTATTTGAAGATATTTCCTTTTGCACAATAGGCCTCAAAGCACTCCAAATATCCACTTGCAGATTCTACAAAATGAGTGTTTCCAAACTGCTCAATCAAAACAGAGGTTCAACTCTGTGAGATGAATGGAAACATCACAAAAGTTTCTCAGAATGCTTCTGTGGAGTTTTTATGTGAAGATATTTCCTTTTCCACCTTAGGCCTCAAAGGGCTCCTAATACCACTTGCAGATTCTACCAAAGATAGTTTCAAAACTGGACTATAAAAAGAGAGTTTCAACTCTGGCAGTTGAATGTCCAGATCCTAAAGAAGTTTCTCAGAATTCTTTTGTGTAGTTTTTTGTGAAGTTAATTCCTTTTCCACCATAGGAGGCAAAGGGCTTCAAATATCCACTTGCAAATTCTACAAAAAGATATTTTCAAAACTGCTCAATCAACAGATAGGTTCAACTCTGTGAGGTGAATGCACACATCACAAAGAAGTTTCTAAGAATGCTTCTTTGTGGTTTTTGTGCATAGATATTTCCTTTTCCACTGCAGGCCTCAAAGTGCTCCAAATATCCACTTGTAGATTCCACAAAAAGAGTGTTTCCAAACTGCTCAATCAAAAGAAAGGTTCAACTCTGTGAGATGAATGCACGCAATATAATGAAGTTTATCAGCATGCTCCTGTCTAGTTTTAATGTAAAGATATTTCCTTTTAAACCATAGGACTCAAAGCATTTGAAATATCCAGTTGCAGATTCTACAAAATGAGTGTTTCAAAAGTGCTCAATGAAAAGAAAGGTTCAACTATGTGAGTTGAATGCAGACATCACAAATAAGTTTCTCAGAATGCTTCTGTCTAGTTTTTATGTGAAGATATTTCCTTTTCCACCATAGGCCTCAAACCTCTCCAAATATCCAATTGCCGATACCAAAAGAAATCTGTTTCCAAACTGCACAATCAAAATAAAGGTTCAACTCTGTGAGTAAAATGCACCCATCACAAAGAAGTTTCTCAGAATGCTTCAGTGTAGTTTGTATGTGAAGATATTTCCTTTTCCACAATAGGCCTCAAAGTGCTCCAAATATCCACTTTAGATTCTACAAAAACTGGTACCAAAACAGAGATATGGATCAATGGAACAGAACAGAGCCCTCAGAAATGACGAGTCATATCTACAACTATCTGATCTTTTACAAACCTGAGAAAAACAAGGAATGGGGAAAGGATTCCATATTTAACAAATGGTGCTGGGAATAGTGGCTAGCCATATGTAGAAAGCTGAAACTGGATCCCTTCCTTACACCTTATACAAAAATTAATTCAAGATGGAGTAAAGACTTAAAGATTAGACCTAAAACCATAAAAACCCTAGAAGAAAACCTAGGCATTGCCATTCAGGACATAGGCATGGGCAAGTTCTTCATGTCTAAAACACCAAAAGCAATGGCAACAAAAGCCAAAATTGACATATAGGATCTAATCAAACTAAAGAGCTTCTGTACAGCCAAAGAAACTACCATCAGAATGAACAGGCAACCTACAAATTGGGAGAAAATTTTCACAAGCTACTCATCTAACAAAGGGTTAATATCCAGAATCTACAATGAACTCAAACAAATTTACAAGAAAAAAACAAAAAAACCCATCAAAAGGTGGGCGAAGGACATGAACAGACACTTCTCAAAAGAAGACATTTATGCAGCCAGAAAACACATGAATAAATGCTCACCATCACTGGCCATCAGAGAATTGCAAATCAAAACCACAATGAGATACAATCTCACACCAGTTAGAATGGCAATCATTAAAAAGTCAGGAAACAACAGGTGATGGAGAGGATGTGGAGAAATAGGAACACTTTTACACTGTTGGTGGGACTTTAAACTAGTTCAATCATTGTGGAAGTCAGAGTGGTGATTCCTCCGGGATCTAGAACTAGAAATGCCATTTGACCCAGCCATCCCATTACTGGGTATATACCCAAAGGACTATAAATCATGCTGCTATAAAGACACATGCACACATATATTTATTGTGGCTCTGTTCACAATAGCAAAGACTTGGAACCAACCCAAATGCCCAACAACGATAGACTGGATTAAGAAAATGTGGCACATATACACCATGGAATACTGTGCAGCCATAAAAAATGATGAGTTCATGTCCTTTGTAGGGACATTGATGAAATTGGAAATCATCATTCTCAGTATATTATCACAAGAAAAAAACAAACACTGCATATTCTCACTCATAGGTGGGAATAGATCAATGAGAACACATGGACACAGGAAGGGGAACATCACACTCTGGGGACAGTTGTGGGTTGGGGGGAGGGGTAAGGGATAGCATTAGGAGACAAACCTAATGATAAATGACCAGTTACTGGGTGCAGCACACCAGTATGGCACTTGTACACATATGTAATTAACGTGCACATTGTGCACATGTACCCTAAAACTTAAAGTATAAAAATAAGAAAATAAAAAAATAAAAAATAAAAAAAAACTACACAGAAGCATTCTGAGAAACTTCTGTGTGATGTGTGCATTCATCTCACAGAGTTGAACCTTTCTTTTGATTGAGCAGTTTGGAAACACTCTTTTTGTAGAATCTGCAAATGGATATTTGTAGCGCTTTGAGGCCTATTGTGGAAAAGGAAATATCTTAATATTAAAACTACACAGAAGCATTCTGAGAAACTTCTTTGTGATGTGTGCATTCAACTCACAGGTTTGAACCTACCTTATGATTGAGCAGTTTTGAAACTCCCTTTTTGTAAAGCCTGCAAGTGGATATTTGGAAAACTTTGAGGCTCATGGTGAAAAAGGAAATATATTCATATAAAAATTATACAGAAGCATTCTGAGAAACTTCTTAGTGACGTGTGCATTCATCTCACACAGTTGAAGCATTCCTTTTAATGAGCAGTATGGAAAAACTATTTTTGTAGTATCTGCAAGTGGATATTTGGGGAGCTTTGAGGCCTATTAAGGAAAAGGAAATATCTTCACATAAAAATTATAAAGAAGCATTCTTACATACTACTTTGTGATGTGTGCATTGAACTCACAGAGTTGAACGTATTTTTTGATTGGGCAATTTTATAACTCTCTTTTTGTAGATTCTGCAAGTGGGTATTTGGAGCCCTTTGCTGCCTATGTTGGAAAAGGAAATATCTACACATAAAAAATACACAGAAGCATTCTGAGAAACTTCTATGTGATATGTGCATTCATCTCACAGAGTTGACACTTTCTTTTGATTGAGCAGTTTCGAAACTCTCTTTTTGTAAAATCTGCAAGTGGATATTTGGAGACCTTTGCGGCCTATGGTGGAAAAGGAAATGTCTTCCCATAAAAACTACATAGAAGCATTCTGAGAAACTCCTTAGTGAGGTTTGCATTCAACTCACAGTGTTGAACCTATCTTTTGTTTGAGCAGATTTGAATCTCTCTTTTTGTAGAATATGCAAGTGGATATTTGGAGCCCTTAGTGGCCTATTTTGGAAAAGGAAATGTCTTCACATAAAAACTATGCAGAAGCATTCTGAGAAGGTTCTTTGTGACGTGTGTGAGTTGAACCTTTCTTTTGACTGAGCAGTTTTCAAACACTCCTTTTGTAAAATGTGCATGTGGATATTTGGAGCACTTTTTGTCCTATAGTGCAAAGTTAAATATCTTAACATAAAAACTAGACAGAAGCATTCTGAGAAACTTCGTTCTGATGTGTGCATTCATCTCACAGACTTGAACATTTCTTTTGATTGAGCAGTTTTGAAACACTCTTTTTTTATTATTTTTCTACTTTAAGTTTTAGGGTACATGTGCACAATGTGCAGGTTAGTTACATTTCTCAGATAAGTAATATATATGCACCCAATGCAGGAGCACCCAGATTCATAAAGCAAGTCCTGAGTGACCTACAAAGAGACTTAGACTCCCACACAATAATAATGGGAGATTTTAACACCCGACGGTCAACATTAGACACATCAACGAGACAGAAAGTTAACAAGGATACCCAGGAATGGAACTCAGCACTGCACCAGGCGGACCTAATAGATATCTACAGAACTCTCCACCCCAAGTCAACAGAATAGACATTTTTTTCAGTACCACACCACACCTATTCCAAAATTGACCACATAGTTGGAAGTAAAGCTCTCCACAGCAAATGTAAAAGATCAGAAATTATAAAAAACTGTCACATGAAAACTACACAGAAGCATTCTGAGAAATTTCTTTGTGATGTGTGCATTCATCTCACAGAGTTGAACCTTTCTTTTGATTGAGCAGTTTGGTAACACTCTTTTTGTAGAATCTGCAAGTGGATATTTGGAACGCTTTGAAGCCTATGGTGGAAAAGGAAATATCTTCATATAGAAACTACACAGAAGCATTCTGAGAAACTTCTTTGTGATGTGTGCATTCAACTAACAGAGTTGAACCTATCTTTTGATAGAGCAGTTTAGAAACACTATTTTTGTAAAATCTGCATGTGGATATTTGGAGCCATTTGCAGCCTATGGTGGAAAAGGAAATATCTTTACATAAAAATTACACAGAAACATTCTGAGAAACATCTTTGTGATGTGGGCATTTATCTCAGGGAACTGAATCTTTCTTTTGACGGAGCAGTTTTGAAACACTCTTTTTGTAGAATCTGCAAGTGGATATTTGAAGTGCTTTGCGGTCTATTATGGAAAAGGAAATATCTTCACATAAATACTACACAGAAGCATTCTGAGAAACTTCTTTTTGATGTGTGCATTCAACTCACAGAGTTGAACCTCTCTTTTGATTGAGCAGTTTTGAATCTCTCTTTTTGTAGAATCTCCAAGTTAATATTTGGAGCCCTTTGCAGCCTATTTTGGAAAAGGAAATATCTTCACATAAAAACTACATGGAAGCATTCTGAGAAACTTCTTTGTGATGGGTGCATTCATCTCACACTGTTGAACCTTTCTTTTGATTGAGCAGTTTTGAAATACTCTTTTTGTAGAATCTGAAAGTGGATATTTGGAGCCATTTGGGGCCTATTGTGGAAAAAGAAATGTGTTCACATAAAAACTACACAGAAGCATTTGGAGAAACTTCTTTTTGATGTGTGCATTCATCTCACAGTGTTGAACCTTTCTTTTGATTGAGCAGTATAGAAACACTCTTTTTGCAGAATCTGCAAGTGTATATTTGGAGCGCTTTGAGGCCTACTGTGGAAAAGGAAATATCCTCACATAAAAATGACACAGAAGGATTCTGAGAAACTGCTTTGCAATGTTTGCATTCATCTCACAGAGTTGAACTTTCTTTTGACTGAGCAGTTTGGAAACACTATTTTTATAGAATCTGCCAGTGGATATTTTGAGCCCTGAGTGGCTTATAGTGGAAAAGGAAATATCTTCACATAAAAACTACACAGAAGCATTCTGAGAAACATCTTTGTGATGTGTGCATTCATCTCACAGAGTTGAAACTTTCTTTTGATTGAGAAGTTTTGAAGCACTCTTTTTGTAGAATCTGCAAGTGGATATTTGGAGCACTTTGAGGCCTATGTTTGAAAAGAAAATGTCTTCCAATAAAAACTACACAGAAGCATTCAGAGAAACTTCTTTGTGATGTGTGCATTCATCTCACAGAGTTGAACTTTTCTTTTGATTGACCAGTTTGGAAACACTGTTTTTGTGGAATCTGCAGTGATAATTGGAGTGCTTTGAGGCCCATGGTGGAAAAGGAAATATCTTCATATAAAAACTACACAGAATCATTCTGAGAAACTACTTTGTGATGTGTGCATTCAAATCACAGTGTTGAACCTCTCTTTTGATTGAGCAGTTTTGAAACTCTCCTTTTGTAGAACCTGCAAATGGATATTTAGAGCCCTTTGCGGCATATGGTGGAAAATGAAATATCTTCACATGAAAACTACACAGAAGCATTCTGAGAAACTTCTTTGTGTTGTGTGCGTTCATCTCACAGAGTTGAAGCTCTCTTTTGATTGAACAGTTTTGAAACACTCTTTTTGTAGAATCTGCAAGTGGGTATTTGAAGTGCTTTCAGGCCTATTGTGGAAAAGGAAATGTCTTCACATAAAAACTACAAAGAAGCATTCTGAGAAACATCTTTGTTATGTGTGCGTTCATCTCACAGAGCTGAAGCTTTCTTTTGATTGAGCAGTTTTGAAGCACTCTTTTTGTAGAATCTGCAAGTGGCTATTTCGAGCGTTTTGAGGCCTATGTTGGAAAAGGAAATATCTTCACAAAAAAATACAAAGAAGCATTCTGAGAAACTTCTTTGCAATGTGAGCATTTATGTCACAGAGTTCAACCTATCTTTTGATTGAGCAGTTTTTAAATTCTCTTTTTGTAGAATCTACAAGTGGATATTTGGAGCCCTTTGTGGCCTATGGTGGAAAAGGAAATATCTTCACATAAAAACAACACAGAAGCATTCTGAGAAACTTCTTTGTGATGTGTGCATTCAACTCACAGTGTTGAACCTATCTTTTGATTGAGCAGATTTGAATCTGTTTTTGTAGAATCTACAAGTGGATATTTGGAGCCCTTTGTGGCCTATTTTGGAAAAGGAAATATCTTCACATGAAAACTACACAGAAGCATTCTGACAAACTTCTTTGTGATGTGTGCATTCATGACACAGAGTCGAATCTTTCTTTTGATTGAGCAGTTTTGAAACACTGTTTTTATAGAATCTGCAAGTGGATATTTGAAGCGCTTTGAAGCCTATGTTGGAAAAGGAAATATATTCACATAAAAACGACACAGAACCATTCTGAGAAACTTCTTTGCATTGTGTGCATTCATCTCACAGGGTTGAACCTTTCTTTTGATGGAACAGTTTTGAAACACTCTTCTTCTAGAATCTCCAACTGAATACTTGGAGCACATTGAGGCCTATTGCGGAAAAGGAAATATCCTCACATGAAAACTACACAGAAGCATTCTGAGAAACTTCTTTGTGATATGTGCATTCATCTGACAGAGTTGAACTTTTCTTTGATTGAGCAGTTTTGAAACACTCTTTGTAGAATCTGCAAGTGGATAGTTGGTGTGCCATGAGGCCTATGGAGGAAAAGGAAATATCTGCACATAAAAACCCTACAGAAGTATTCTGAGAAGCTTCTTTGTGATGTGTGCATTCATCTCACAGAGTTGAACTTTACTTTTGATTGAGCAGTTTGGAAACACTCTTTTTTAGAATCTGCAAATGGATATTTGGAGCGCTTTGAGGCCTATGTTGGAAAAGGATGTATCTTCACATAAAAACTACACAGAAGAATTCTGAGACTTCTTTTTGATGTGTGCATTCAACTCACAGAGTTGAACCTATCTTTTGATAGAGCAGTTTTGAAAATCTCTTTTGGTAGAATCTGCCACTGGATATTTGGAGCCCTTTGCGGCCTATGGTGGAAAAGGATATGTCTTCACATAAAATCTACACAGAAGCATTCTGAGAAACTTCTTTGTGATGTGTGCATTCATCTCAGGGAGTTGAACCTTTCTTTGGATTGAGGAGTTTTGAAACCCTCTTTTTGAAGTATCTGCAAGTGGATATTTGGAGTTATTTGCGGCCTATTCTGGAAAAGGGAATATCTTCACATAAAAACTACACAGAAGCATTCTGAGAAACTTCTTTGTGATGTGTGCATTCATCTCACAGAGTTGAACATTTCTTTTCATTGAGCAGTTTTGAAACACTGTTTTTGTTGTACCTGCAAGTGGACATTTGGAGCGCTTTGAGGCCTATTGTGGAAAAGGAAATATCTTCACATAAAAACTACACAGAATAGGTTGTGAAAATTTTCTTCCATTTTGTAGGTTGCCTGTTCACTCTGATAGTAGTTTATTTTGCTGTGCAGAAGCTCTTTAGTTTAATTAGATCCCATTTGTCAATGTTGGTTTTTGTTGCCATTGCTTTTGGTGTTTTAGACATGAAGTCCTTGCCTATGTCTATATCCTGAATGGTAATGCCTAGGTTTTCTTATTGGGTTTTTATGTTTTTTGGTCTAACGTTTCAGTCTTTAATCCATCTTGAATTAATTTTTGTATAAGTTGTAAGGAAGGGATCCAGTTTCACCTTTCTACATATGGCTAACCAGTTTTCCCAGCACCATTAATTATTTAGGGAATCCTTTCCCCATTGCCTGTTTTTCTCAGGTTTGTCAAAGATCAGATAGTTGTAGATATGCGGCATTATTTTTGAGGGCTCTGTTCTGTTCCATTGATCTATACCTCTGTTTTGGTACCAGTACCCTGCTGCTTTGGTTACTGTAGCCTTGTAGTATAGTTTAAAGTCAGGTAGCTTGATGCCTCAAGCTTTGTTCTTTTGGCTTAAGATTGACTTGGCGATGTGGGCTCTCTTTTGGTTCCATATGAACTTTAAAGTACTTTTTTCCAATTCTGTGAAGAAAGTCATTGGTAGCTTGATGGGGATGGCATTGAATCTATAAATTACCTTGGGCAGTATGGCCATTTTCACGATATTGAGTCTTCCTACCCATGAGCATGGAATGCTCTTCCATTTGTTTGTATCCTCTTTTATTTCATTGAGCAGTGGTTTGTTGTTCTTCTTGAAGAGGTCCTTCACATTCCTTGTAAATTGGATTCCTAGGTATTTTATTCTCTTTGAAGCAACTGTGAATGGGAGTTCACTCATGATTTGGCTCTCTGTCTGTTGTTGATGTATAAGAATGCTTGTGATTTTTGTACATTGATTTTGTATCCTGAGACTTTGCTGAAGTTGCTTATCAGCTTAAGGAGATTTTTGGCTGATATAATGGGGTTTTCTAGATATACAATCATGTCATCTGCAAACAGGGACAATTTGACTTCCTCTTTTCCTAATTGAATACACTTTGTTTCCTTCTCCTGCCTAATTGCCCTGGCCAGAACTTCCAACACTATGTTGAATAGGAGTAGTGAGAGAGGGCATCCCTGTCTTGTGACAGTTATCAAAGGGAATGCTTCCAGTTTTTGCCCATTCAGTATGATAAGGCTTTGGGTTTGTCATAGATAGCTGTTATTATTTTCAGATAAGTCACATAAATACCTAATTTATTGAGAGTTTTTAACATGAAGAATTGTTGAATTTTATGATCAAGTGGGCTTCATGCCTGGGATACAAGAGTGGTTCAATATACGTAAATCAATAAATATAATCCAGGATATAAACAGAACCAAAGACAAAAACCACATGATTATCTCAATAGATGGACCGTTCTTTTGATTGAGCAGTTTGAGACACTCTTTATGTAGAATCTGCAAGTGGATATGTGGAGCTCATTGAGACCTATGGAGGAAAAGGAAATAACTTCACATAAAAACTACACAGAAGCATCCTGAGAAACTTCCTTGTGATGTGTGCATTCATGTCACAGAGTTGAACCTTTCTTTTGATTGAGCTGTTTTGAGAACTCTTTTTGTAGAATCCACAAGTGTATATTTGGAGTGATCTGAGGCCTATACTGAAAAAGGAAATATCTTCACATAGAAACTACACAGAAACATTCCGAGATACTTCTTTGTGATGTGTGCATTCATCGCACAGAGTTGAAACTTTCTTTTGATTGAGCAGTATTGAAACATTCCTTTTGTACAATCTGCAAGTGGATATGTGGAGCTCATTGAGGCCTATGGAGGAAAAGGAAATAACTTCACATAAAAACTACACAGAAGCATCCTGAGAAACTTCCTTGTGATGTGTGCATTCATGTCACAGAGTTGAACCTTTCTTTTGGTTGAGCAGTTTTGAAGAACTCTTTTTGTAGAATCCACAAGTGTATATTTGGAGTGATCTGAGGCCTATACTGAAAAAGGAAATATCTTCACATAGAAACTACACAGAAGCATTCCGAGATACTTCTTTGTGATGTGTGCATTCATCGCACAGAGTTGAAACTTTCTTTTGATTGAGCAGTATTGAAACATTCTTTTTGTACAATCTGCAAGTGGATATTTGGAGTGCTTTGAGGCCTATGTGGAAAAGGAATTATCTTCACATAAAATCTATACAGAAGCATTCTGAGAAATGCCTTTGTGATGTGTCCATTCAACTCACAGAGTTGAACATATCTTTTGATAGAACAGTTTTGAAACTCTCTTTTTTTAAAATCTGCAATTGGATATTTGTAGCACTTTGCAGCCTATTTTGGAAAAGAAAATATCTTCACATAAAAACTACACAGAAACATTCTGAGAAACCGCTTTGTTATATGTGTATTTATCTACCAGAGTTGAACCGTTCTTTTGATTGAGCAGTTTTGAAACACTCTTTTTATAGAATCTGCAAGAGGATATTTGAAGTGCTTTGAGACCAATTGTGGAAAAGGAAATATCTTCATATTAAAATTACACAGAAGCATTCTGAGAAACATCTTTGCGATGAGTGCGTTCAACTCACAGAGTTGAAATTTTCTTTAGATTGAGCAGTTTTGAAACACTATTTTTGTAGAATCTGCAAGTGTATATGTGGAGTGCTTTGAGGCCTATGGTGGAAAAGGAAATATCTTCACATAAGAATTACACATAAGCATCCTGAGAAACTGTTTTGTGATGTGTGCATTCAAATCACAGAGTTGCATTTATCTTTTTATAGAGCAGTTTTGAAACTCTCTTACTGTAAAATCTGCAAGTAAATATTTTTAGCCCTTTGTGGCCTATAGTGTAAAAGGATATATCTTCTCATAAAAACTACACAGAAATATTCTGAGAAACTTCTTTGTGATGTGTGCATTTATCTCACAGAGTTGAAACTTTCTTTTCATTGAACAGTTTGGAATCACTCTTTTTGTAGAATCTGGAAGTGGATATTTGGAGCACTTTGAGGCCTACAGTGGAAAAGAAAATGTCTTTGCACAAAAACTACACAGAAGCATACTGAGAAACTTCTCTGTGATATGTCCATTCAACTCACACAGTTGAACCTGTCTTTTGATAGAGCAGTTTTGAAACTCTCTTTTTGAAAATTCTGCCATTGCATATTTGGAGCCCTTTGTGGCATATGTTGGAAAAGGTAATATCTTCAAAAAAAAATACACAGAACATTCAGAGAAAATTCTTTGCAATGTTTACATTCATCCCTCAGTATTGAAGCTTTCTTTGATTGAGCAGTCTTGAAACACTCTTTTTGTAGAATCTGCAAGTGGGTACTTGGAGCGCTTTGAGGCCTATGGTCAAAAAGGAAATATCCTCACATAAACACTACACAGAAGCATTCTGAGAAACTTCCTTGTGATGTGCTCATTCATCTCACAGAGTTTAAACTGTCTTTTGATTTAGCAGTTTTGAAACTATCTTTTTGTAGAATCTGCAAATGGATATTTGGAGCCCTTCGTGGCCTATGGTGGAAAACGAAATATCTTCACATAAAAACGACACAGAAGCATTCTGACAAACTTCTTTGTGATGTGTGCATTCATCTGACAGAGTTGAACCTTTCTGTTGATTGAGCAGTTTGGAAACACACTTTTTGTGGAATCTGCAAGTGTATATTTGCAGTGCTTTGAGGCCTACGATGGAAAAGCAAATATCTTCACAGGGAAGCTCTGCAGAAGCATTCTGGGAAACCTCTTAGTGATGCGTGCAATCCTCTCACAGCGTTGAAGTTTTCTTTTTTTTTCTTTTTTTTTTTATTATACTTTAAGTTTTAGGGTACATGTGTACATTGTGCAGGTTAGTTACATATGTATACATGTGCCATGCTTGTACGCTGCACCCATTAACTCGTCATCTTGCATTAGGTATAACTCCTAATGCTATCCCTCCCCCCTCCCCCCACCCCACAACAGTCCCCAGAGTGTGATATTCCCTTTCCTGTGTCCATGTGATCTCATTGTTCAATTCCCACCTATGAGTGAGAATATGCGGTGTTTGGTTTTTTGTTCTTGCGACAGTTTACTGAGAATGATGATTTCCAATTTCATCCATGTCCCTACAAAGGACATGAACTCATCATTTTTTATGGCTGCATAGTATTCCATGGTGTATATGTGCCACATTTTCTTAATCCAGTCTATCATTGTTGGACATTTGGGTTGGTTCCAAGTCTTTGCTATTGTGAATAATGCCACAATAAACATACGTGTGCATGTGTCTTTATAGCAGCATGATTTATAGTCTTTTGGGTATATACCCAGTAATGGGATGGCTAGGTCAAATGGTATTTCTAGTTCTAGATCCCTGAGGAATCGCCACACTGACTTCCACAATGGTTGAACTAGTTTACAGTCCCACCAACAGTGTAAAAGTGTTCCTATTTCTCCACATCCTCTCGAGCACCTATTGTTTCCTGACTTTTTAATGATTGCCATTCTAACTGGTGTGAGATGGTATCTCATTGTGGTTTTGATTTGAATTTCTCTAATGGCCAGTGATGATGAGCATTTTTTCATGTGTTTTTTGGCTGCATAAACGTGTTCTTTTGAGAAGTGTCTGTGCATGTCCTTCACCCACTTTTTGATAGGGTTGTTTGTTTTTTCTTGTAAATTTGTTTGTGTTCATTGTAGATTCTGGATATTAACCCTTTGTCAGATGAGTAGGTTGTGAAAATTTTCTCCCATTTTGTAGGTTGCCTGTTCACTCTGATGGTAGTTTCTTTTGCTGTGCAGAAGCTCTTTAGTTTAATTAGATCTCATTTGTCAATTTTGTCTTTTGTTGTCATTGCTTTTGGTGTTTTAGACATGAAGTCCTTGCCCATGCCTA
>NC_000010.11:39410237-39479351 GCF_000001405.40 Homo sapiens | reverse complement strand
AGAGGATACAATCAAATGGAAGAACATTCCATGCTCATGGGTGGGAAGAATCAATATCGTGAAAATGGCCATACTGCCCAAGGTAATTTACAGATTCAATGCCATCCCCATCAAGCTACCAATGTCTTTCTTCACAGAATTGGAAAAAACTACTTTAAAGTTCATATGGAACCAAAAAAGAGCCCGCATCGCCAAGTCAATCCCAAGCCAAAAGAACAAAGATGGAGGCATCACACTATCTGACTTCAACTATACTACAAGGCTACAGTAACCAAAACAGCATGGTACTGGTACCAAAACAGAGATATAGATCAATGGAACAGAACAGAGCCCTCAGAAATAACGCCACATATCTACAACTATCTGATCTTTGACAAACCTGAGAAAAACAAGGAATGGGGAAAGGATTCCCTATTTAATAAATGGTGCTGGGAAAACTGGCTAGCCATATGTAGAAAGCTGAAACTGGATCCCTTCGTTACACCTTATGCAAAAATAAATTCAGGATGGATTAAAGCGTTGAAGTTTTCTTTTGAATTGAGCAGTTTGGAAACACTCTTTTTGTAGAATCTGCAAGTGGATATTTGGAGTGCTTTGAGGCCTATTTTGGAAAAGGAAATATCTCCACATAAAAACTACACAGAAGCATTCTGAGAAACTTCTTTGTGATGGGTGTATTCATCTCACAGAGTTGAACGTTTCTTTTTATTGAGCAGTTTGGAAACACTCTTTTTGTAGAATCTGCAAGTGATATTTGGAGCGGTCTGAGGCCTATAGTGAAAAAGGAAATATCTTCACCTGAAAACTATACAGAGCCATTCTGAGAAACCTGTTTGTGATGTGTGCATTCATCTCACGGAGGTGAAACTTTCTGTTGATTGAGCAGCTTGAAACATTCTTTTTGTATAATCTGCAACTGGATATTTGGAGAGCTTTGAGCCTAAGGTGGAAAAGGAAATACTTTCACATGGAAACTATGCAGAATTATTCTGAGAAACTACTTTGTGATGTGTCCATTGGACTCATGGAGTTGAACCTAGCTTTTGATTGAGCAGATTTAAATATCTCTTTTTGGAAATTCTGCAAGTAGATATTTGGAGCCTTTAGTGGCCTATTTTGGAAAAGGAAATACCTTCATATAAAAACTACACAGAAGCATTCTGAGAAAGTTCCTTGTGGTGTGTACATTCATCTCACAGTGTTGAACCTCTATTTTGATTGAGCAGTTTTGTAACAATCTTTTTTTAGTATCTGCAAGGGGATATTTGGAGCGATTTGAGACCTATTGTGGAAAAGGAAAAGTCTTCTCATAAAAACTACACAAAAGGATTCTGAGAAGCCACTTTGTGATGTATGCACTTAACTCACAGAGTTGAACTTATCTTTTGGTTGAGCAGGTTTGAATCTCTTTTTTTGTAGAATCTGCAAGTGAATATTTGGAGTTATTAGCCCCCTATTTTGGAAAAGGAAATATCTCCACATAAAAACTACTCAGAAGCATTGAGAGAAACATCTTTGTGATGTGTGCATTCATCCCACAGAGTTGAACTATTCTTTTGATTGAGCAGTTGGGAAACCCTCTTTTTGTAGAATCTGCTAGTGGATATTTGGAGTGCTCTGAGTCCTATACTGAAGAAAGAAGTATCTTCACATAAAAACAACAGAGAAGCATCCTAAGAAACTTCTTTGCAATGTCTGCATTCTTTGCACAGAGGTGAAACTTTATTTTGATTGAGTAGTTTTGAATCACTCTTTTTGTAGTATATGCAAGTGAACATTTGGAGCGCTTTGAGGCCTGTGGTGGAAAAGGAATTATCTTCACATAGAAACTACACAGAAGCATTCTGAGAAACTACTTTGTAATGTATGCACTCAATTCACAGAGTAAAACATATATTTTGATTGAGCAGTTTTGAAACTCTCTTTTTGTAGAATCTGCAAGTGGATATTTGGAGCCCTTTGCGGCCCTTGGTGGAAAAGGAAATATCTTCACATAAAACCACACAGAAGCAGTCTGAGAAACTTCTTTGTGATGTGTGCATTCAATTCACAGAGTTGAACATTTATTTTGATTGAACAGATTTGAATCTCTCTTTTTGTAGAATCTTCATGTGGATAATATTAACCCTTTGCGGCCTATTTTGGAAAAGGAAATATCTTCACATAAAAACTACACAGAAGCATCCTGAGAAACTTGTTTGTGATGTGTGCATTCATCTCACAGAGTTGAAACTTTCTTTTGATAGAGCAATTTTGAAACACTCTTTTTGGAGATTCTGCAAGTGGATATCTGGAGCACTTTGTGGCCTATGGTGGAAAAGGAAACATCTTCCCATAGAAACTACATAGAAGCATTCTGAAAAACTATTTTCTGATGTGTTCATTCAAGTCACAGTGTTGAGCCTATATGTTTATTGAGCAGTTTTGAAAGTCTTTTTTCTAGAATCTCTAAGTGGATACTTGGAGCCCTTTCTGGCCTATGGTGGAAAAGCAAATATCTTCGGATAAAAACTACATGGAAGCATTCTGAGAAACTTCTTTGTGATGTGTGCATTCACCTGAGAGAGTTGAACCTCTCTTTTGATTGAGCAGTTTTGAAACTATCTTTTTCTAGAATCCACAAGTGGATATTTAGAGCCCTTTGAGGCCTTTTGTGGAAAAGGAAATGTCTTCACATAAAAACTACAGAGAAGCATTCTGAGAAACTTCTTTGTGATGTGTGCATTCATCTCACAGAGTTGAAGCTTTCTTTTGATTGAACAGTTTGGAATCACAATTTTGCAGAATCTGCAAGTGGATATTTGGAGTGCTTTGAGACCTATGGTGGAAATGGAAATATCTTCACATAGAAACTATACAGAAGCATTCTGTGAAGCTTCTTAGTTATGTGTGCATTCATCTCACAGAGTTGAGGCTTTCTTTTGATTGAGCAGATTGGAAACACTCTTTTTGTAGAATCTGCAAGTGGATATTTGGAGCGCTTTGAGGCCTACTGTGGAAAACGAAATATCTTCACATAAAAACTACACAGAATCATTCTGAGAAACTACTTAGTGATGTATGCATTTAAGTCACAGTGTTGAACTTATATTTTGATTGAGCCGTTTGGAAACTCTCTTTTAATACAATCTGCAAGTGGATATTTAGAGCCCTTTGTGGTGTATGGTGGAAAAGAGGTATCTTCACATAATAACTACACAAAAGCATTCTGAGAAACTTCTTTGTGATGTGTGTATTCACCTCACATAGTTGAACCATTTTTTTGATTGGGCAGTTTGGAAAAACTCTTTTTGTAGAATCTGCTATTGAATATTTGGAGTGCTCTGAGGCCTATAGTGAAAAAGGAAATATCTTCACATAGAAACTACAGAGAAGCATTCTGAAAAACATTTTTGTGATGTGTGCATTCATCCCACAGATCTGAACCTTTATTTTCATTCAGAAGTTTTGAAACACTCTTTTTGTAGAATATGCAAGTCGATATTTGGAGCGCTTTGAGGCCTGTGGTGGAAAAGAAAATATCTTCACTTAGAAACTACACAGAAGCATTCTGAGAAACTTCTTTGTGATGTGTCCATTCAAATCACAGAGGTGAAACTACCTTTTGATAGAGCAGTTTTGAAACTCTATTTTTGTAAAATCTGCAAGTGGATATTTGGAGTCTTTGTGGGCTATGGTGGAAAGTGAAGTATCTTCACATAAAAACTACACAGAAGGCCGGGTGCGGTGGCTCACGCCTGTAATCCCAGCACTTTGGGAGGCTGAGGTGGGCGGATCACGAGGTCAGGAGATCGAGACCATCCCGGCTAAAATGGTGAAACCCCGTCTCTACTAAAAATACAAAAAATTAGCCGGGCATAGTGGCAGGTGCCTGTAGTCCCAGCTACTTGGGAGGCTGAGGTAGGAGAATGTTGTGAACCTGGGAGGTGGAGCTTGCAGTGAGCCGAGATCCCGCCACTGCACTCCAGCCTGGGTGACAGAGCGAGACTCCATCTCAAAAAAAAAAAAAAAAAAAAAAAAACTACACAGAAGCATTCTCAGTAACTATTTTGTGATGTGTGCATTCAAATCACAGAGTTCAACCTGTATTTTCATTGAGCAGTTTTGAAACTCTCTTTTTGTAGAATCTGCAATTGGATATTTGGAGCACTTTGAGGCCAAATGTGTAAAAGGAAATATCTTGACATAAAAACTATACAGAATCATTATGAGAACCTTCTTTGTGATGTGTGCATTCATCTCACAGAGTTGAACCACTGTTTTGATTGAGCAGTTTTGAAACAATATTTTTGTAGAATCGGCAACTGGATATTTGGAGTGATTTGAGGCCTATTGTGGAGAAGGAAATGTCTTCACATAAAAACTACACAGAAGCATTCTGAGTAACTTCTTTGCAACATGTTCACTCATCTCACAGAGTTGAAGTTTTCTTTTGTTTGAGTAGTTGGAAAAAATTCTTTTTGTAGAATCTGCAAGTGGATATTTGGAGCACTTTGAGGCCAATGGTGGAAAAGGAAATATCTTCTTTCAAAAACTACACAGAAGAATTCTGAGAAACGCCTTTGTGATGTGTGCATTCGTCACAAAGAGTTGAAGCTTTCTTTTGTATGAGCAGTTTTGAGACACTTTTTTTGCAGAATCCACAAGTGGATATTTGGAGCACTTTGTGGCCTATGGTGGAAAGGGAGGTATCTTCACATGAAATGTACACAGAAGCATTCTGAGAAACTTCTTTGTGATGTATCCATTCAACTCACCGAGTTGAACCTATCTTTTGAAAGAGCAGTTTTAAAACTCTCTTTGTGTAGAATCTGCAAGTGGATATTTGGAGCCCATTGTGGCATATGTTGGAAAAAGAAATATCTTCAGAAAAAAACTGCACAGAAGCATTCAGAGAAACGTCTTTATCATGTGTGCATTCATCTCACATTGTTGAATCTTTCTTTGATTGAGCAATTTTAAAACACTCTTTTTGTAGAATCTGCAAGGGGATATTTGGAGTGCTTTGAGGCCTATTGTGGAAAACGAAATATCTTCACATGAAAACTACACAGAAGCATTCTCAGAAACTTCCTTGTGATGTGTGTATTCATCTCACAGAGCTGAACCTTTCTTTTGATTGAGCAGTTTGGAAACACACTTTTTGTAGAATCTCCAATTGGATATTTTGCACACTTTGAGGCCTATTGTTGAAAAGGAAATATCTTCACATAAAAAGTATACAGAACCATTCTGAGTAACTTCTTTGTGATGTGTGCATTCATCTCACAGAGTTGAACCTTTCTTTTGATTGAGGAGTTTTGAAACAATCTTTTTCTAGTATGTGCATGTGGATATTTGGAGCGCTTTGAGGCCTATGGTAGATAAGGAAATATCTCCACATAAAAATTATGCAGAAGCATACTGAGAAACTTCTTTGTGATGTGTGCATTCATCTCACAGAAGTGAATCTTTCTTTTGATTGAGCAGTTTGGAAACACTCTTTTTGCAGTATCTGCAAGTGGATATTTGGAGCGCTTTCGGGCCAATGGTGTAAAAGGAAACAACTTCACATAGAAACTACACAGAAGCATTCTGAGAAACTTCTTTGTGATATGTCCATTCAACTCACAGAGTTGAACATATCTTTTGATAGAGCAGTTTTGGAATCCTTTTTTTGTAAAATCTGCAAGTGGATATTTGGAGCGCTTTGAGGCCTATGGTGGAAAAGGAAATATCTTCACATAGAAAGTACACAGAAGCATTCTGAGAAACTTTCTTGTGATGTGTGCATTCAACTCACAGAGTTGAAGCTTTCTATTGATTCAGCAGTTTGGAAACACTCTTTTTGTAGAATCTGTAAGTGGATATTCGAACTGTTTTGAGGCTTATTGTGGAAAAGGAAATACCTTCACATAAAAACTACACATAATCATTCTGAGAAACTACTTTACGATGTGTGCTTTCAAATCACAGAGTTGCACCTATATTTTGATTGAGCAGTTTTGAAACTTTTTGTAGAATCTTCAAGTGGATATTTGGAGCCCTTTGCAGCCTATGTTGGAAAAGGAAATAACCTCACACAAAAACTACACAGAAGCATTCTGAGAAACATCTTTGATGTGTGCATTCATCTCACAGATTTGAACATTTCTTTTGATTGAGCAGTTTGGAAACACTCTTTTTGCAGAATCCGCAAGTGGATATTTGGAGTGCTCTGAGGCCTATACGGAAAGAGGAAATATCTTCACATAAAAACTACACGGAAGCATCCTGAGAAACTTCTTTGTGAAGTGTGCATTCATCTGACAGAGTTGAACTTTTCTTTTGATGGAGCAGTTTTCATACACTCTTTTTGAGAATCTGCAAGTGGATATTTGGAGCGCTTTGGGGCCTCTGGTGGAAAAGGAAATATCTTCACAAAGAAACTACACAGAAGCATTCTGAGAAGCTTCTTTGTGATGTATGCATTCAACTCAGCGAGTTGATGCTTTCTTTTGATTGAGCAGTTTGGAAACACTCTTTTTTTAATTTTCTTATTATTATACTTTAAGTTTTAGGGTACATGTGCACAATATGCAAGTTAGTTACATATGTATACATGGGCAATGCTGGTGTGCTGCACCAATTAACTCGTCATTTAGCATTAGGTATATCTTCTAAAGCTATCCCTCCCCCCTCCCCCTACCCCACCACAGTCCCCAGAGTGTGATGTTCCCCTTCCTGTGTCCATGTGTTCATTGTTCCATTCCCACCTAGGAGTGAGAATATGCTGTGTTTGGTTTTTTGTTCTTGCAATAGTTTACTGAGAATGATGATTTCCAATTTCATCCATGTGCCTACAAAGGACATGAACTCATCATTTTTTATGGCTGCTTAGTATTCCATGGTGTATGTGTGCCACATTTTCTTAATCCAGTCTATCATTGTTGGACATTTGGGTTGGTTCCAAGTCTTTGCGATTGTGAATAGTGCCACAAGAAACATATGTGTGCATGTGTCTTTATAGCAGCATGATTTATAGTCCTTTGGGTATATACCCAGTAATGGGATGGCTGGGGCAAATGGGATTCCTAGTTCTAGATCCCTGAGGAATCGCCACACTGACTTTCACAATGGTCGAACTGGTTTACAGTCCCACCAACAGTGTAAAAGTGTTCCTATTTCTCCATATCCTCTCCAGCACCTGTTATTTCCTGACTTTTTATGATAGCCATTGTAACTGGTGTGAGATGGTATCTCATTGTGGTTTTGATTTGCATTTCTCTGATGATCAGTGATGGTGAGCATTTTTTCATGTGTTTCTTGGCTGCATAAATGTCTTCTTTTGAGAAGTGTCTGTTCATGTCCTTTGCCCACTTTTTGATGGGGTTTTTTGTTTTTTTCTTGTAAATTTGTTTGAATTCAATGTGGATTCTAGATATTAGCCCTTTGTCAGATGAGTAGGTTGTGAAAATTTTCTCCCATTTTGTAGGTTGCCTGTTCACTCTGATGGTAGTTTCTTTTGCTGTGCAGAAGCTCTTTAGTTTAATTAGATCTCATTTGTCAATTTTGTCTTTTGTTGCCATTGCTTTTGGTGTTTTGGACATGAAGTCCTTGCCCAGGCCTATGTCCTGAATGGTAATGCCTAGGTTTTCTTCTAGGGTTTTTATGGATTTAAGTCTAACGTTTAAGTCTTTAATCCATCTTGAATTAGCTTTTGCATTAGGTGTAAAGAAGGGATCCAGTTTCAGCTTTCTACATATGGCTAGACAGTTTTCCCAGCACCATTTATTAAATAGGGAATCCTTTCGCCATTGCTTGTTTTTCTCAGGTTTGTCAAAGATCAGATAGTTTTAGATATGCAGTGTTATTTCCGAGGGCTCTGTTCTGTTCCATTGGTCTATATCTCTGTATTGGTACCAGTACTATGCTGTTTTGGTTACTGTAGCCTTGTAGTATAGTTTGAAGTCACGTAGCATGATGCCTCCTGGTTTGTTCTTTTGGCTTTGGATTGACCTGGCGATGCGGGCTCTTTTTTGGTGCCATATGAAATTTAAAGTAGTTTTTTCCAATTCTGTGAAGAAAGTCATTGGTGGTGTGATGGGGATGGATTTGAATCTATAAATTACCTTGAGCAGTATGGCCATTTTCACGATATTAATTCCTTCTACCCATGAGTATGGAATGTTCTTCCATTTGTTTGTATCCTCTTTTATTTCATTGAGTAGTGGTTTGTAGTTCTCCTTGAAGAGGTCCTTCACATCCCTTGTAAGTTGTAATCCTAGGTATTTTTTTCTCTTTGAAGCAATTGTGAATGGGAGTTCACTCATGATTTGGCTCTCTATTTGTCTGTTATTGGTGTATAAGAATGCTTATGATTTTTGTACATTGATTTTGTATCCTGAGAATTTGCTGAATTTGCTTATCAGCTTAACGAGATTTTGGGCTGAGACAATGGGGTTTTCTAGATATACAATCATGTCATTTGCAAACAGGGACAATTTGACTTCCTCTTTTCCTTATAGAATACCCTTTATTTCCTTCTCCTGCCTAATTGCCCTGGCCATAACTTCCAACACTATGTTGAATAAGAGTGGTGAGAGAGGGCATCGCTGTCTTTTGCCAGTTATCAAAGGGAATGCTTCCAGTTTTGACCATTCAGTGTGATATTGGCTGTGGGTTTGTCATAGATATCTCTTATTATTTTGAGATACATCCATCAATACCTAATTTATTGAGAGTTGTTAGCATGGAGGGTTGTCGAATTTTGTCAAAGGCCTGTTATGCATTGATTCAGATAATAATGTGGTTTTTCTCTTAAAGAAAATAATTTTCAACCCAGAATTTCATATCCAGCCAAACTAAGCTTCAGAAGTGAAGGAGAAATAAAATACTTTACAGACGAGCAAATGCTGAGAGATTTTGTCACCACCAGGCCTGTCCTAAAAGAGCTCCTGAAGGAAGCGCTAAACATGGAAAGCAACAACTGGTACCAGCCGCTGCAAAATCATGCCAAAATGTAAAGACCATCGAGACTAGGAAGAAACTGCATCAACTAACGAGCAAAATCACCAGCTAACATCATAATGACAGGATCAAATTCACACATAACAATATTAACTTTAAATATAAATGGAATAAATTCTTCAATTAAAAGACACAGACTGGCAAGTTGGATAAAGAGTCAAGACCCATCAGTGTGCTGTATTCAGGAAACCCATCTCACGTGCAGAGACACACATAGGCTCAAAATAAAAGGATGGAGGAAGATCTACCAAGCAAATGGAAAACAAAAAAAGGCAGGGGTTGCAATCCTACTCTCTGATAAAACAGACTTTAAACCAACAAAGATCAAAAGAGACAAAGAAGGCCATTACATAATGGTAAAGGGATCAATTCAACAAGAGGAGCTAACTATCCTAAATATTTATGCACCCAATACAGGAGCACCCAGATTCATAAAGCAAGTCCTGAGTGACCTACAAAGAGACTTAGACTCCCACACATTAATAATGGGAGACTTTAACACCCCACTGTCAACATTAGACAGATCAACGAGACAGAAAGTCAACAAGGATACCCAGGAATTGAACTCAGCTCTGCACCAAGCAGACCTAATAGACATCTACAGAACTCTCCACCCCAAATCAACAGAATATACATTTTTTTCAGCACCACACCACATCTATTCCAAAATTGACCACATACTTGGAAGTAAAGCTCTCCTCAGCAAATGTAAAAGAACAGAAATTATAACAAACTATCTCTCAGACCACAGTGCAATCAAACTAGAACTCAGGATTAAGAATCTCACTCAAAGCCGCTCAACTACATGGAAACTGAACAACCTGCTCCTGAATGACTACTGGGTACATAACGAAATGAAGGCAGAAATAAAGATGTTCTTTGAAACCAACGAGAACAAAGACACCACATACCAGAATCTCTGGGACGCATTCAAAGCAGTGTGTAGAGGGAAATTTATAGCACTAAATGCCTACAAGAGAAAGCAGGAAAGATCCAAAATTGACACCCTAACATCACAATTAAAAGAACTAGAAAAGCAAGAGCAAACACATTCAAAAGCTAGCAGAAGGCAAGAAATAACTAAAATCAGAGCAGAACTGAAGGAAATAGAGACACAAAAAACCCTTCAAAAAATCAATGAATCCAGGAGCTGGTTTTTTGAAAGGATCAACAAAATTGATAGACCGCTAGCAAGACTAATAAAGAAAAAAAGAGAGAAGAATCAAATAGACACAATAAAAAATGATAAAGGGGATATCACCACCAATCCCACAGAAATACAAACTACCATCAGAGAATACTACCAACACCTCTACGCAAATAAACTAGAAAATCTAGAAGAAATGGATACATTCCTCGACACATACACTCTCCCAAGACTAAACCAGGAAGAAGTTGAATCTCTGAATAGACCAATAACAGGCTCTGAAATTGTGGCAATAATCAATAGTTTACCAACCAAAAAGAGTCCAGGACCAGATGGATTCACAGCCGAGTTCTACCAGAGGTACAAGGAGGAACTGGTACCATTCCTTCTGAAACTATTCCAATCAATAGAAAAAGAGGGAATCCTCCCTAACTCATTTTATGAGGCCAGCATCATTCTGATACCAAAGCCGGGCAGAGACACAACCAAAAAAGAGAATTTTAGACCAATAACCTTGATGAATATTGATGCAAAAATTCTCAATAAAATACTGGCAAACCGAATCCAGCAGCACACCAAAAAGCTTATCTACCATGATCAAGTGGGCTTCATCCCTGGGATGCAAGTCTGGTTCAATATACGCAAATCAATAAATGTAATCCAGCATATAAACAGAGCCAAAGACAAAAACCACATGATTATCTCAATAGATGCAGAAAAACCCTTTGACAAAATTCAACAACCCTTCATGCTAAAAACTCTCAATAAATTAGGTATTGATGGGACGCATTTCAAAATAATAAGAGCTATCTATGACAAACCCACAGCCAATATCATACTGAATGGGCAAAAACGGGAAGCATTCCCTTTGAAAACTGGCACAAGACAGGGATGTCCTCTCTCACCGCTCCTATTGAACATAGTGTTGGAAGTTCTGGCCAGGGCAATCAGGCAGGAGAAGGAAATAAAGGGTATTCAATTAGGAAAAGAGGAAGTCAAATTGTCCCTGTTTGCAGACGACATGATTGTTTATCTAGAAAACCCCATCGTCTCAGCCCAAAATCTCCTTAAGCTGATAAGCAACTTCAGCAAAGTCTCAGGATACAAAATCAATGTACAAAAATCACAAGCATTCTTATACACCAACAACAGACAA
The DNA here is from genome assembly GCF_000001405.40 of Homo sapiens. NCBI lineage: Eukaryota > Metazoa > Chordata > Mammalia > Primates > Hominidae > Homo > Homo sapiens. The sequence continues at coordinate 39,468,060 of NC_000010.11, read as the reverse complement.
ACAGAGATCCAAATCATGAGTGAACTCCCATTCACAATTGCTTCAAAGAGAATAAAATACCTAGGAATCCAACTTACAAGGGATGTGAAGGACCTCTTCAAGGAGAACTACAAACCACTGCTCAAGGAGATAAAAGAGGACACAAACAAATGGAAGAACATTCCATGCTCATGGGTAGGAAGAATCAATATCGTGAAAATGGCCATACTGCCCAAGGTAATTTACAGATTCAATGCCATCCCCATCAAGCTACCAATGACTTTCTTCACAGAATTGGAAAAAACGACTTTAAAGTTCATATGGAACCAAAAAAGAGCCCGCATTGCCAAGTCAATCCTAAGCCAAAAGAACAAAGCTGGAGGCATCACACTACCTGACTTCAAACTATACTACAAGGCTACAGTAACCAAAACAGCATGGTACTGGTACCAAAACAGAGATATAAATCAATGGAACAGAACAGAGCCCTCAGAAATAATGCCGCATATCTACAACTATCTGATCTTTGACAAACCTGAGAAAAACAAGCAATGGGGAAAGGATTCCCTATTTAATAAATGGTGCTGGGAAAACTGGCTAGCCATATGTAGAAAGCTGAAACTGGATCCCTTCCTTACACCTTATACAAAAATCAATTCAAGATGGATTAAAGATTTAAACGTTAGAACTAAAACCATAAAAACCCTAGAAGAAAACCTAGGCATTACCATTCAGGACATAGGCGTGGGCAAGGACTTCATGTCCAAAACACCAAAAGCAATGGCAACAAAAGACAAAATTGACAAATGGGATCTAATTAAACTAAAGAGCTTCTGCACAGCAAAAGAAACTACTATCAGAGTGAACAGGCAACCTACAACATGGGAGAAAATTTTCGTAACCTACTCATCTGACAAAGGGCTAATATCCAGAATCTACAATGAACTCAAACAAATTTACAAGAAAAAAACAAACAACCCCATCAAAAAGTGGGCGAAGGACATTAACAGACACTTCTCAAAAGAAGACATTTATGCAGCCAAAAAACACATGAAAAAATGCTCATCATCACTGACCATCAGAGAAATGCAAATCAAAACCACTATGAGATATCATCTCACACCAGTTAGAATGGCAATCATTAAAAAGTCAGGAAACAACAGGTGCTGGAGAGGATGTGGAGAAATAGGAACACTTTTACACTGTTGGTGGGACTGTAAACTAGTTCAACCATTGTGGAAGTCAGTGTGGCGATTCCTCAGGGATCTAGAACTAGAAATACCATTTGACCCAGCCATCCCATTACTGGGTATATACCCAAATGACTATAAATCATGCTGCTATAAAGACACATGCACACGTATGTTTATTGCGGCATTATTCACAATAGCAAAGACTTGGAACCAACCCCAATGTCCAACAATGATAGACTGGATTAAGAAAATGTGGCACATATACACCATGGAATACTATGCAGCCATAAAAAATGATGAGTTCATGTCCTTTGTAGGGACATGGATGAAATTGGAAACTATCATTCTCAGTAAACTATCTCAAGAACAAAAAACCAAACACCGCATATTCTCACTCATAGGTGGGAATTGAACAATGAGTTCACATGAACACAGGAAGGGGAATATCACACTCTGGGGACTGTGGTGGGGTCGGGGGAGGGGGGAGGGATAGCAGTGGGAGATATACCTAATGCTAGATGACACGTTAGTGGGTACAGCGCACCAGCATGGCACATGTATACATATGTAACTAACCTGCACAATGTGCACATGTACCCTAAAACTTAAAGTATAATAATAAAAAAAAACTTTTCTCCAATATACATACACCCACACCCCACGCATACATATAGTGAATATATACTATGTATTTGTGTGTGTGTATATATATATATATAATATACTTATTTTTTGAATTAAAAAAACAATATTAACTTTAAATGTAAATGGACTAAATGCTCCAATTAAAAGACACAGACTGGCAAATTGGATAAAGAGTCAATACCCATCAGTGTGTTGTATTCAGGAAACCCATCTCACATGCAGAGACACACATACGCTCAAAATAAAAGGATGGAGGAAGATCTACCAAGCAAATGGAAAACAAAAAAAGGCAGGGTTTGCAATCCTAGTCTCTGATAAAACAGACTTTAAACCAACAAAGATCAAAAAAGACAAAGAAGGCCATTACATAATGGTAAAGGGATCAATTCAATAAGAAGAGCTAACTACCCTAAAGATATAAGCACCCAATACAGCAGCACCCAGATTCATAAAGCAAGTCCTGAGTGACCTACAAAGAGACTTAGACTCCAACACAACAATAATGGGAGACTTTAACATCCCACTGTGAACATTAGACAGATCAACGAGACAGAAAGTTAACAAGGATATCCAGGAATTGTACTCAGCTCTGCACCAAGTGGACCTAATAGACATCTACAGAACTCTCCACCCCAAATCAACAGAATATACATTTTTTTCAACACCGCACCACACCTATTCCAAAATTGACCACATATTTGGCAGTAAAGCTCTCCTCAGCAAATGTAAAAAATCAGATATTATAACAAACTTTCTCTCAGACCACAGTGCAATCAAACTAGAACTCAGGATTAAGAAACTCACTCAAAACCACTCAACTACATGGAAACTGAACAACCTGCTCCTGAGTGACTACTGAGCACAGCAGGAAATGAAGGCAGAAATAAAGATGTTCTTTGAAACCAGTGATAACAAAGACACAGCATACCAGAATCTTTCGGACACATTCAAAGCAGTGTGTAGAGGGTAATTTATAGCACTAAATGCCCACAAGAGGAAGCAGGAATGATCCAAAATTGACACCCTCACATCACAATTAAAAGAACTAGAAAAGCAAGAGCAAACACATTCAAAAGCTAGCAGAAGGCAAGAAATAACTAAAATCAGAGCAGAACTGAAGGAAATAGTGCCACAAAAACCCTTCAAAAAATTAATGAATCCAGGAAACACTCTTTTATAGAATCTGCAACTGGATATTTGAAGCATTTTGAGGCCTACTGTGGAAAAGGAAATATCTTCCCAGAAAAACTACACTGAAGCACTTTGAGAAACTTCTTTGTGATGTGTGCATTAATCTCAAAGAGTTGAAACTCTCGTTTGATTGAGCAGTTTTGAAACAATATTTTGTAGAACAAGCAAGTGGATATTTGGAGCGGTTTGAGGCCTATTGTGGAATACGAAGTGTCTACATATAAAAAGTACACAGAAGCATTCTGAGAAAAATCTTTGTGATGTGTGCATTCATCTTACAAAGTTGAACCTTTCTTTTGATAGAGCAGCTTGAAAACACACTTCTTGTAGACTCTGGAAGTGGATATTTGGAGCGCTCTAAGGCCTATGGTGGAAAAGGAAATATCTTCACATAAAAACTATACAGAAGAATTCTGAGAAACTTGTGATGTGTGCATTCATGACACAGAGTTGAAGCTTTCTTTTGATTTAGTAGTTTTGTAACACTCTTTTTGTAGAATCTGCAGGTGGATATTTGGTGTGCTTTGAGGCCTATGCTGGAAAAGGAATTATCTTCACATTGAAACTACACAGAAGCATTCTGAGAGACTTCTTTGTGATGAGCCATTAAACTCACAGTGTTGAACATGTATTTTGATAGAGCAGTTTTGAAACTCTCTTTTTGTAAAATCTGAAAGTGGGTATTTGGAGCCATTTGCAGCCTATGGTGGAAAAGGAAATGTCTTCATATAAAAACTACACAGAAGTATTCTGAGAAACGTTTTTGTGATGTCTGCATTAAACTCACAGAGTTGAACCTATCTTTTCATTGAGCAGATTTGAAGCTGTCTTTTTGTAGAATCTGCAAGTGGATATGTGGAGCCCTTAGTGGACTATTTTGGAAAAAGAAATATCTTCACATAAAAACTACACAGAAGCATTCTGGGAGACTTCTTTGTGATGTGTGCATTCTTCTCACAAAGTTGAACATTTATTTTGATTAAGGAGTTTTGAAACACACTTTTTGTAGAATCTGCAAGTGGATATTTGAAGCACTTGGAGGCCTATTGTGGAGAAGGAAATATCTTCCCATAAAAACTACACAGAAGTATTCTGAGAAACTTCTTTGCAATGTGTGCGTTCATCTCAGAGAGTTGAAACTTTCTTTTCATTGTGCAGTTTTGAACCACTCTTTTTGTAGAATCTGCAAGTGGATATTTGGAGTGCTTTGAGGCCTATGTTTGAAAAGGAAATATCTTCACATAAAAACTACACAGAAGTATTCTGAGAAACTTCTTTGCAATGTGGGCATTCATGTCACTGAGATGAACCTATCTTTTGATTGAGCAGTTTTGAAACTCTCTTTTTGTAGAATCTACAAGTAGATATTTGAAGCCCTTTGTGGACTATGGTGGAAAAGGAAATATCTTCACATAAAAACTACACAGAAGCATTCTCAGAAACTTCATTGTGATGTGTGCATTCAGCTCACAGAGTTGAACGTATCTTTTGATTGAGCAGATTTGAATCTCTGTTTTCATAGAATCTGCAAGGGGATATTTGGAGCCCTGTGCGGCCTATTTAGGAAAAGGAAGTATCCTCATAAAAACTACACAGAAGCATGTTGTTAAAATTCTTTGTGTTGTGTGCATTCACCTTACAGTGTTGAACCTTTCTTTTGATTGAGCAGTTTTGATACACGCTTTTTATAGAATCTACAATGGGATATTTGGGGCGCTTTGAGGCCTATGGTGGAAAAGGAAATATCTTCACATAAAACCTAGACAGAAGCATTCTGAGAAACTTCTTTTTGATGTGTGCATTCAACTCACAGAGTTGAACCTGTCTTTCATTGAGCTGTTTTGAAACAGTCTTTTTGTAGTATCCGCAAATGGATATTTGTAGCGGTTTGAGGCCTTTGGTGGAAAAGGACCTATATTCACATAAACACTAGAAAGAAGCATTCTGAGAAACTTCTTTGTGATGTGTGCATTCAACTCACAGAGATGAACCTTTCTTTTGTTTGAGCCAGTTTGAAACACTCTTTTGTAGCATCTGCAAGTGGATAGTTGGAGTGCTTTTCGGCCTATGGTTGAAAAGGAAATACCTTCACATAAAAACGAGACAGAAGCATTCTGAGAAACATTTTGTGATGTGTGCATTCATCTCAACGAATTGAAACTTTCTTTTCATTGTTCAGTTTTGAAAACCTCTTTTTGTAGAATATGCAAGTGGATATTTGGAGCACTTTGAGGCCTCTGGTGGAAACGGATATATCTTCATATAAAAACTAGACTGAAGCATTCTCAGAAACTTCTTTGTGATGTGTTCATTCAACTCACATTGTTGAACCTTTCTTTCAATTGAGTAATTTTGAAACACTCTTTTCGTAGAATCTGCAAGTGTCTATTTCGAGGGCCTATGGTGGAAAAGGAAATATCTTCACATAAAAAATACACAGAAGCATTCAGAGAATCTTCTTTGTGATGTCTGCATTCAACTCAGAGAGTTAAAACTTTTTTTTTGATTGAGCAGTATTGAATCACATTTTTTGTAGAATCCGCAAGTGGATATTTCGAGGTCTTTGCGGCCTCCTGGGAAGAGGTAATATCTTTATATAAAAACTAGACAGAAACATTCTGAGAAACTTCTGTGTGATGTGTGCATTCAATTCACAGAGTTGAACTTTTCTTTTGATTGCGGATTTCAAACACAGTTTGTGTAGAATCTGAAAGTGGATATTTGGAGTGCTTTGAGGCCTACGGTTGAAAATAAATATCTTCACATAAAAACTAGACAGAAGAATTCTGAGAAATGACTTTGTGCAGTGTGCATTCATCTCACAGAGTTGAAACTTTCTTTTGATTGAACAGCTTTGAAACACACTTTTTGTAGAATCTGCAAGTGGATATTTGGAGCCCTTTGGTCTCTGCTGATAATGGAAATATCTTCACATAAAAACTATACAGAAGCATTCTGAGAAACTCCTTTTTATGTGTGTATTCACCTCACAGAGTTGAAATTTTCTTTTAATTGAGCAGTTTTGAAACTCTCTTTTTGAATAATCTGCAAGTGGAAATTTGGAGCACTTTGAGGCCTCTGGTGGAAAAGAAAATATCTTCACATAAAAACTAGGCAGAAGCATTCTGAGAATCTTTTTTGTGATATGTACATTCAACTAACAGAATCAAACCTTTCTTTTCATTGAGCAATTTTGAAACACGCTTTTTGAAAAATCTGTAAGTGGATATTTTGAGGGATCTGTGGCCTCCTGTGGAAAAGGAAATATCTTCACATTACATCTAGACAGAAGCACTCTGAGAAGCTTCTGTGTAATGTGTGCACTCATCTCACAGATTTTAAATTTTCTTTTGATTCATCAGTTTCAAAACACTATGTAGAATCTGCAAGTGGCTATTTGAAGCCCTTTGCAGCCGAGGGTAGAAAACGAAATATCTTAACATAAAAACTAGACTGAAGCATTCAGAGAAACTTCTGAGTGATGTCTGCATTCATCTCACAGAGTTGAACCTTTCTTTTGACTGAGCAGTTTTGAAACACTCTTTTTATAGAATCTCCAAGTGGATATATGGCGTGATTTGAAGCCTATGGTGGAAAAGGAAATATCTTCAAATAGAAACTAGACAGAAGCATTCTGAGAAACTTCTTTGGGATATGTGCATTCATCTCACAGAGTTGAACATTTCTTTTGATTCGTCAGTTTCCAAACACTATTTATGTAGAATCTGAAAGTGGATATTTGGAACGCTTTGAGGCTTAAGGTGGAAAAGGAAATTGCTTCACATAAAAACTACAAAGAAGCATTCATCTCACAGAGTTGAACCATTCTTCTCATTGAGCAGCTTTGAAACACTCTTTTTGTAGAATCTGCAAGGGGATATTTGGAGCAATTTGAGGCCTGTTCTGGAAACGGAAATATCTTCTCATAAAAACCACACAGAAGCATTCTGAAAAACTTCTTTGTGAGTTATGCATTCAACTCACAGAGTTGAAACTTTCTTTTCATTGAAGAGTTTTGAAACACTCTTTTTGTAGACTCTGCAAGTGGATATTTGGAGCGATTTGTGGCCTCTAGTGAAAAAGGAAATATCTTCACATAAAAACTAGACAGAAGCATTCTGAGAAACTTCTATGTGATTTGTGCATTCACCTCAAAGAGTTGAAACTTACTTTAGATTGAGCAGTTTGAAACACACATTTGGAGAATCTGCAAGTGGAAATTTGGAGCGCTTTGAGGCCTATGATGTAAAGGGAAATGTCTTCAAACAAAAACTAGGCAGAAGCCTTCTGAGAAACTTCTTTGTTATGTATGCATTTATCTCACTTAGTTGAACCTTTCTTTTGACTGAGCACTTTGGAAACTTTCTTTTTGTAGAATCTGCAAGTGGATATTTGGAGTGCTTTGTGACCTCTACAGGAAAAGGAAATATCTGCACTTAAAAAATAGACAGAAGCCTTCTGAGAGACTTCTTTGTGATGTGTGCATTCATCTCACAGAGATGAAACTTTCTTTTTATTGAGCAGTTTTGAAACGCTCTTTTTGCAGAATCTGCAAGGGGATATTTGGAGCACTTTTATGCCTATGGTGGAAAAGGAAATATCTTCACATAAAAACTATGCAGAAGCATTATGAGAGACTTCTTTGTGATGTGTGCAGTCATCTCACAAAGTTTAACGTTCCCTTTGATTGAGCAGTTTTGAAACATTGTTTTTGTAGAATCTACAGTTGGATATTTGGAGCACTTTGACGCCTATGGTGGAAATCGAAATATCTTCATATAAAAGCAAAACAGGGGCATTCTGAGAAACTTCTTTGTGATGTGTGCATTCATCTCACAGAGTTGAAACTTTCTTTTTATTGAGAAGTTTTGAAACCCTCTTTGTGCAGAATCTTCAAGGGAATATTTGGAGTGCTTTTATGCCTATGGTGGAAAAGGAAATACCTTCACATAAATACTAAGCGGAATCATTATAGGAGAGACTTCTTTGTGATGTGTGCTTTCTTCTCACAGAGTTGAACATTTCGTTTGATTGAGCAGTTTTGAAACACTCTTTTTGTAGGATCTGCAAGTGGATATTTGGAACGCTGTGAGGCCTATGATGAAAAAGGAAATATCTTCACAAGAAAATTAAACGGAAGCATTCTGAGAAACTTCTTTGTGATGTCTGTGTTCATCTCAGAGAGTTGAACCTTTCTTTTGATTCAGCAACTTTGAATCCCTCTTTTTGTAGAAACTGCAAGTGGATATTTGGAGCGCTTTTAGGCCTGTGGTGGAAAAGGTAATATATTCATATAAAAACTAGACAGAAGCATTCTGAGAAACTTCATTGTGATGTGAGCATTCATCTCACAGAGTTGAACCTTTCTTTTGATTGAGCAGTTTTGAAACACTCTTTTTGTAGAATCTGCAAGTGGATATTTGGAGTCTTGTGTGGCTTATGGTGGAAAAGGAAATATCTTCACATAAAAACTAGACAGAAGCATTCTGAGAAACTTCTTTGTGATGTGTGCATTGATCTCACAGCGTTGAACATTTCTTTTGATTGAGCAGTATTGAAACACTCTTTTTGTACAATCTGCAAGTGGATATTTGGAGTGCTTTGAGGCTTGTGTTGGAAAAGAAAATATCCTCACATGAAGACAATACAAAAGCATTCTGAGAAACTTCTTTGTGATGTGTGCATTCATCTTACAGAGTTAAACATGTCTTTTGATTGAGCAGTTTGAAACACTCTTTTTGTAGAATCTGCTAGTGGATAATTGAGGGCTTTGCGACCTCTACTGCAAAAGGAAATCTCTTCACATAAAAACTAGACAGAAGCATCTGAGAAACTTCTTTGTGATGTGTGCATTCATCTCACAGAATTGAACATTTCTTTTGATTGAGCAGTTCTGAAACACTCTTTTTGTAGAATCTGCAAGTGGATATTTAGAGCTCTTAGAGCACTAAGGTGGAAAAGGCAGTATCTTCACATAAAAACTAGACAGAAGCATTCTGAGGAAGTTCTTTTCTGATGTGTGCATTCAACTCAGAGAGACGAACCTGTCTTTTGATTGAGGAGTTTTAAAACTGTCTTTTTTTTAGAATCTGCAAGTAGATATTTGGAGCAATTTGCCTCCTCTAGTGTAAAAGATAGTATCTTCACATAAAAAGTAGACAGGAGTATTCTGAGAAACATCTTTGTGATGTGTGCATCAGTTCACAGAGTTGAAACTTTCCTTTGAGAAGTTTCAAAACACTCTTTTTCTAGAATCTGCAAGTGGAAATTTGGAGCAATTTGTGGTGTATGGTGGAAAACAAAATATGTTCACATAAAAACGAGAAAGAAGCAATTTGAGAAGCTACTGTGTGATATGTGCTTTCATCTCACCGAGTTGAGCCTTTCTTTTGATTGAGCAGTTTTGAAAAATTCTTTTTGTAAATCTCCAAGTGGATATTTGGAGCGCTTTGAGCCCGAGTTTGGAAAACAAATTATGTTCACATAAAAACTGGACAGAAGCATCATGAGGAATTTCATTTTGATGTGTGCATTCATTTCACAGAGTTGAATATTTCTTTTGATTAAGCAGATTTGAAACCCTCTTTTTGTAAGATATGCAAGTGGATATTTGGATACACTTGTGGCCAGTTGGGAAAAGGAAATATCTTCATTAAAAACTAGACAGAAGTATTCTGAGAATCTTCTTTGTGATGTGTGCCTTCATTTGACAGAGTTAAATCTTTCCTTTGATTGGGCAGTTTTGAAAAACTGTCTTTGTAGAATCTGCAAGAGGATATTTTTAGCACTTTGTGGCCTATGGTGGAAAAGGAAATATCTTCACATAAAAACTAGACTGGAGCAGTCTGAGAAACTTCTTTGTGATGTGTGCATTCAACTCACAGAGTAGAACCTTTCTTTTGATTGAGCAATTTTGAAACACTCTTTTTATAGAATCTGCAACTGGATATTTAGAGTGCTTTGCAGTCTATGGTGGAAAAGGAAATATCTTCATATAAAAACTAAACTGAAGCATTATGAGAAACTTCCTTGTTATGTGTGCATTCATCTAACAGATTTGAACCTTTCTTTTGATTGAGCAGTTTTGAAACACTCTTTTTGTATAAACTGCAAGTGGATATTTGGATCGCTTTGAGTCCTATGGTGGAAAAAGAAATATCTTCAAATAGAAACTAAACAGAAGCATTCTGAGAAACTTCTTCATGATCTGCACATTATTCTCTCAGAGTTGAACCTTTCTTTTGATTGAGCAGCTTTGAAACACTCTTTTTGTAGAGTCTCCAAGTGGATATTTGGAGTGCTTTTGAGGCCTATGGTGGAACAGGAGATATCTTCACATAAAAACTAGACAGAAGTTTTCTGAGAAATTTTTTTGTGATTTGTGCACTCGTCTTACAGAGTTGAAGCTTTCTTTTGATTGAGCAGCTTTGAATCCCTCTTTTTGTAGAAACTGCAAGTGGATATTTGGAGCGCTTTTAGGCCTGTGGTGGAAAAGGTAATATATTCATATAAAAACTAGACAGAAGCATTCTGAGAAACTTCATTGTGATGTGAGCATTCATCTCACAGAGTTGAAGCTTTCTTTTGATTGAGCAGTTTTGAAACACTCTTTTTGTAGAATCTGCAAGTGGATATTTGGAGTGGTTTGTGGCCTATGGTGGAAAAGTTAATATGTTCACATAAAAATTACACAGAAGCGTTCTGAGAAACTTCTTTGTGATGTTTGCTTTCATTTCACAGAGTTGAACATCTCTTTTGATTGAGCAGTTTGGAAACACTCTTTCTGTAGAATCTGCAAGTGGAGATTTGGAGCGCTTTGAGGCCTATAGTGGAAAAGGGAATAACTTCACATAAAAACTACACAGAAGCATTCTGAGAAACCACTTTTTGATGTGTGCATTCAACTCGCAGAGTTGAACCTATCTTCTGATAGAGCAGTTTTGTAACTCTCTTTTTGTGCAATATGCAAGTGGCTATTTGGAGCCCTTTGTGGCCAATGGTGGAAAAGGAAATATCTTCACATAAAAACTACACAGAAGTGTTCTGCGAAACTTCTTTGTGATGTGTGCATTCATCTCACAGAGTTGAACATTTCATTTGATTATCCAGTTTTGAAGCACTCTTTTTGTAGTATCTGCAGGTGGATATTTGGAGCACTATGTGGCCTATTATGGAAAAGGAACTATCTTCACATAAAAACTACACACAAGCATTCTCAGAAACTTCTTTGTCTTTCCTTCCTTCCCTCCTTTCTTCCCTCCTTCCTTTCTTTCTTTCTTTCTTTCTTTCTTTCTTTCTTTCTTTCTTTCTTTCTTTCTTTCTTTCTTTCTTTCCTTCCTTCCTTCTTTCTTTCTTTCTTTCCTTCGGTCTCCCTCTGTTGCCAAGGCTGAATTGTAATGCCTTGATCTCGGCTCTCTTCAACCTCCCTGCCTCTGGCTCCCGTGATTCTCCTGCCTCTGCCTTCTGAGTGCCTGGGATTGCAGGCGTGCACTGCCACACCTGACTGCTTTTTGTATTTTTGGTGGAGACGTGGTTTCACCATGTTGGCTGGGCTGGTCTCCAGCTCCTGACCTCGAGTGATCTGCCCGCCTCGTCCTCCCGAGTTGCTGGGACTGCTGACGGATTCTTGCTCACTCAATGCTCAATGTTGCCCAGGCTGGAGTGCAGTGGCCTGATCTCTGCTCACAACAACCTCCACCTCCCAGCCGCCTGCCTTGGCCTCCCAAAGTGCTAAGATTACTGCCTATTCCTGGTCACCACCCCGTCTAGGAAGTGAGAAGCATCTCTGCCTGGCGGCCCATCATCTGGGATGTGAGGAGCCTGCATGCCCGGCTGCCCCATCTGGGAAGTGAGGAGCACCTCTGCCCAGCTGCCACCCGTTCTAGGAAGTGAGGAGCCCCTCTGCCTGGCCACCACCCCGTCTGGGATGTGAGGAACATCTCTGCCTGGCCACCCCATCTAGGAAGTGAGGAGTTCCTCTGCCCGGCTGCCCTGTCTGGGAAGTGAGGAGCGCCTCTTCCCAGCCACCCCATCTGGGAGGTGAGGAGCACCTCTGCCCGGCTGCCCATTGTCTGGGATGTGAGGAGCACCTCTGCCTGGCTGCCAATCATCTGGGATGTGAGTAGTGCCTCTGTCCAGATGCCATGCTTTCTAGGAAGTGAGGAGTGCCTCTGCCCAGCCACCTTGTCTGGGAAGTGATGAACGCCTCTGCCCCACCAGCCTGTCTGGGAAGTGAGAAGTGACTCTGCCTGGCTGCCCCATCTGGGAGGTGAGGAGTGTCTCTGTATGGCTGCCCCGTCTGGGAGGTGAGGAGTGTCTCTGCATGGCTGCCCCGTCTGGGAGGTGAGGAGCGTCTCTGCCCGGCCACCCCATCTGGGAGGTGAGGAGCGCCTCTGCCTGGCCGCCCCATCTGGGAAGTGAGCAGCACCTCTGCCTGGCCACTGTGCAATCTTCCAAGTGTGAAGTGACAGCCTTTCTGCAAGTGCACCCAACAGCTCTGAAGAGACAGCGACCATCAAGAAAGGGCCATGATGATGATGGTGGTTTTGTCTAAAAGAAAAGGGGGAAATGTGGGGAAAAGAAAGAGACATCAGATTGTTACTGTGTCTGTGTAGAAAGAAGTAGACATAGGAGACTCCATTCTGTTCTGTACTAAGAGAAATTCTTCTGCCTTGGGATGTTGTTAATCTATAACCTTACCCCCAACCCAGTGCTCTCTGAAACATGTGCTGTGTCAACTCAGGTTTAAAGGGATTAAGGGCGGTGCAAGATGTGCTTTGTTAAACAGATGCTTGAAGGCAGCATGCTTGTTAAGACTCATCACCACTCCCTAACCTCAAGTATGCAGGGACACAAACAATGCAGAAGGCCACAGGGAACTCTGCCTAGGAAAACCAGAGATCTTTGTTCACCTGTTTATCTGCTGACTTTCTCACCACAATTATCCTATGACCCTGCCACATCCCCTTCACTGAGAAACACCCGAGTGATCAATAAATACCAAAAAATAAATAAATAAATAAATAAATAAATAACAAAATAGACTTCAGGTGCTCTTACCAGTTTATAAATAAAAGGTGACAATGAGATGAAAAAAAAGAAAAAGAGAAACTTCTTTGTGATGTGTGCATTCATCTCACAGAGTTGAACATTTCATTTGATTGAGCAGTTTTGAAACGCTCTTTTTGTAAAATCTGCAAGTGAATATTTAGAGCACTTTGAGGCCTATTGTAGAAAAGGAAATATCTTCAAATAAAAACTACACAGAAGCATTCTCAGAAACTTCTTAGTGACGTGTGCATTCATCTCACAGAGTTGAACCTATCTATCTTTAGATAGAGCAGTTTTGAACCTCTCTTTTTGTAGAATCTGCAAGTCAGTATTTAGAGCACTTTGCAGCCTATGGTGGAAAAGGAAATATCTCCACATAAAAACTACAGAGAAGCATTCTGAGGAACTTCATTGTGATGTGTGCATTCATCTCACAGAGCTGAAACTTTCTTTTGATTCAGCAGTTTTGAAACACTCTTTTTGTAGAATCTGCAAGTGGATATTTGGAACGCTTTGAGGCCTATTATACAAAAAGAAATATCTTCACATGAAAACTACACTGAAGCATTCTCTGAAACTTCTTTGTGATGTGTGCATTCAACTCACAGATTTGAAACTATCTTTTGATAGGGCAGTTTTGAAACTCTCTTCTTGTAGAAACTGCAAGTGGATATTTGCAGCCCTTTGCAGTCTAAGGTGGAAAAGGAAATATCTTCACATAAAAACTACACAGAAGCATTCTCAGAATCTTCTTTGTGTACATTCCTCTCACAGAGTTGAGACTTTCTTTTGATTGAGCAGTTTTGAGTCACTCTTTTTGTAGAATCTGCAACTGGATATTTGGAGAGCTATGAGGCCTACGGTGGAAAAAGAAATATCTTCACATAAAAACTACACAGAAGCATTCTGAAAAACTTCTTTTTGATGTGTGCACTCAACTCGCAGAGTTGAACCTATCTTTTGATAGAGCAGTTTTGAAACTCACTTTTTGTAAAATCTGCAAGTGGTTATTTGGAGCCCTTTGTGGCCATTTGTACAAAAGGAAATATCATCCTGTAAAAACTACACAGAAGCATTCTGAGAAACTTCTTTATGATGTGTGCATTCATCTCACAGAGCTGAACATTTCGTATGACTTAACAGTTCTGAAAAACTGTTTTTGTAGAATCTACAAGTGGATATTTGGAGCGCATTGAGGCCTTTTGTGGAAAAGGAAATATGTTCACATAAAAACTACACAGAAGCATTCTCAGAGACTTCTTTGTGATATGAGCATTCAACTCACAGAGTTGAAACTATCTTCTGATAGAGCAGTTTTGAAACGTTCTTTTCGTAGAATCTGCAAGTGGACATTTGGAGTGCTTTGAGGCCTATGGAGGAAAAAAAATCTTCACATAAAAACTACACAGAAGGATTATGGGAAACTTCTTTGTTATGTATGCATTGATCTCATAGAGTTGAACCCATCTTTTGATTGAGCAGTTTTGAAACTTCTACTTTTGTAGAATCTGCAAGTGAATATTTGGAGATCCTTGCGGCCTATGGTGGAAAAGAAAATATCTTCCAATAAAAACTACACAGAAGCGTTCTGAGAAACTTCTTTGAGATACGTGCATTCATCTCTCAGAGTTGAACTTTTCTTTGGATTGTGTAGTTTTGAAACACTCTTTTTGTAGAATCTACAAGTGGAGATTTGGAGCACTTTGAGGACTATTGTGGAAAAGGAACGATCTACACATGAAAACTACACAGAAGCATTCTGAAAAACTTCTTTGGGATGTGTGCATTCAACTCACATAGTTGAACCTATCTTGTGATAGAGCAGTTTTGAAACTCTTTTTTTGTAGTATCTGTAAGTGGATATTTGGAACGCTTTGAGGCCTATTATACAAAAAGAAATATCTTCACATGAAAACTACACTGAAGCATTCTCTGAAACTTCTTTGTGATGTGTGCATTCAACTCACAGATTTGAAACTATCTTTTGATAGGGCAGTTTTGAAACTCTCTTCTTGTAGAAACTGCAAGTGGATATTTGCAGCCCTTTGCAGTCTAAGGTGGAAAAGGAAATGTCTTCACATAAAAACTACACAGAAGCATTCTGAGAAAGTACTTTGTGATGTGTGCATTCATCTAACCGAGTTGAACCTTTCTTTTGATTGAGCAGTTTTGAATCAATCTTTTTATATATTCTACAAGTGGAGATTTGGAGTGCTTTGAGGCCTATGTTGCAAAAAGAAATGTCTTCACATAAAAACTACACAGAAGCATTCTCAGAAACTTCTTAGTGACGTGTGCATTCATCTCACAGTGTTGAAGCTATCTTTTGACAGAGCAGTTTTGAAATCTCATTTTGTAGAATCTGCAAGTGAATATTTGGAGCCCTTTGTGGCCTATTGTGGAAAAGGAAATATCTCCACATGAAAACTACACAGAAGCATTCTGGGAAACTTATTTGTGATGTGTCCATTTATCTCACAGAGCTGAACTTTCTTTTGATTGAACAGTTTTGAAACACTCTTTTTGTAGAATCTGCAAGTGGATATTTGAAGCGCTTTGGGGCCTATGGTGGAAAAGGAAATATCTTCATATAAAAACTAGACAGAATCATTCTCAGAAACTTGTTTGTGATATGTGCACTCATCTCACAGAGATGAACCTATCTTTTAATAGAGCAGTTTTGAAACTCTCTTCTTGTAGAATCTGCAAGTGGATATTTGGAGCCCTTTGTGGACTAAGGTGGAAAAGGAAATATCTTCACATAAAACCTACACGGAAGCATTCTGAGAAACTACTTTTTGATGTATGCATTCATCTCCCAGAGTTGAACCTTTCTCTTGATTGAGCAGTTTTGAAACACTCTTTTTGTAGAATCTGCAAGTGAAGATTTGGAGCGCTTAGAGGCCTATGGTTAAAAAGAAAACATCTTCACATAAAAACTACACAGAAGCATTCTGAGAAACTTCTTTGTGATGTGTGCATTCATTTCACATCGTTGAACCTATCTTTTGATAGAGCAGTTTTGAATTTTTTTGTAGAATCTGTAAGTAGATATTTGGAGTGCTTTGAGGCCTATTGTAGAAAGGAAATATCCATCTGCATTTCCATCTGAGCTTTGAAGAGAGCAGTGGTTCTCCCAGCATGCAGCCGGAGATCTGAGAATGGGCAGACTGCCTCCTCAAGTGGGTCCCAGACCCCTCACCCCCGAGCAGCCTAACTGGGAGGCACCCGCCAGCAGGGGCAGACTGACACGTCACAAGGCCGGGTACTCCAACAGACCTGCAGCTGAGGGTCCTGTCTCTTAGAAGGAAAACTAACAAACAGAAAGGACATCCACACCAAAAACCCATCTGTACATCAACATCATCAAAGACCAAAAGTAGATAAAACCACAAAGATGGGGAAAAAACAGAGCAGAAAAACTGGAAACTCTAAAAAGCAGAGCACCTCTCCTCCTCTAAAGGACCAGAGTTCCTTACCAGCAATGGAACAAAGCTGCATGGAGAATGACTTTGATGAGGTGAGAGAAGAAGGATTCAGATGATCAAATTATGCCGAACTATGGGAGGACATTCAAACCAAAGGCAAAGAAGTTGAAAACTGTGAGAAAAATTAAGAAGAATGTATAACTAGAATAACCAATACAGAGAAGTGCCTAAAGGAGCTGATGGAGCTGAAAACCAAGGCTCGAGAACTACGTGAAGAATGCAGAAGCCTCAGGAGCCGTTGCGATCAACTGGAAGAAAGGGTATCAGCAATGGAAGATGAAATGAATGAAATGAAGTGAGAAGGGACGTTTAGAGAAAAAGGAATAAAAAGAAATGAGCAAAGCCTCCAAGAAATGTGGGACTATGTGAAAAGACCAAATCTATGTCTGATTGGTGTATCTGAAAGTGACAGGGAGAATGGAACCAAGTTGGAAAACACTCTGCAGGATATTATCCAGGAGAACTTCAACAATCTAGCAAGGCAGGCCAACCTTCAGTTTCAGGAAATACAGAGAACACCACAAAGATACTCCTTGAGAAGAGCAACACCAAGACACATAGTTGTCAGATTCACCAAAGTTGAATTGAAGGAAAAAATGTTAAGGGCAGCCAGAGAGAAAGGTCGGGTTACCCTCAAAGGGAAGCCCATCAGACTAACAGCAGATCTCTCAGCAGAAACCCTACAAGCCAGAAGAGAGTGGGGGCCAATATTCAACATTCTTAAAGAAAAGAATTTTCAACCCAGAATTTCATATCCAGCCAAACTAAGCTTCATAAGTGAAGGAGAAATAAAACACTTTACAGACAAGCAAATGCTGAGAGATTTTGTCACCACCAGGCCTGCACTAAAAGAGCTCCTGAAGGAAGCGCTAAACATGGAAAGGAACAACCGGTACCAGCTGCTGCAAAATCATGCCAAAATATAAAGTCCATCTAGACTAGGAAGAAACTGCGTCAACTAACGAGCAAAATAACCAGCTAACATCATCATGACAGGATCAAATTCACACATAACAATATTAACTTTAAATGTAAATGGACTAAATGCTCCAACTAAAAGACACAGACTGGCAAATTGGATAAAGAGTCAAGACCCATCAGTGTGCTGTATTCAGGAAACCCATCTCACGGGTGGAGACACACATAGGCTCAAAATAAAAGGATGGAGGAAGATCTACCAAGCAAATGGAAAACAACAAAAGGCAGGGGTTGCAATCCTAGTCTCAGATAAAACAGACTTTAAACCAACACAGATCAAAGAAGGCCATTACTTAATGGTAAAGGGATTGATTCAACAAGAAGAGCTAACTATCCTAAATATATATGCACCCAATACAGGAGCACCCAGATTCATAAAGCAAGTCCTGAGTGACCTACAAAGAGACTTAGACTCCCACACATTAATAATGGGAGACTTTAACAACCCACTGTCAACATTAGACAGATCAACGAGACAGAAAGTCAAAAAGGATACACAGGAATTGAACTCAGCTCTGCATCAAGCGGACCTAATAGACATCTACAGAACTCTCCACCCCAAATCAACAGAATATATATTTTTTTCAGCACCACACCACACCTATTCCAAAATTGACCACATACTTGGAAGTAAAGCTCTCTTCAGCAAATGTAAAAGAACAGAAATTATAACAAACTATCTCTCAGACCACAGTGCAATCAAACTAGAACTCAGGATTAAGAATCACACTCAAAGCTGCTCAGCTACATGGACACTGAACAACCTGCTCCTGAATGACTACTGGGTACATAACGAAATGAAGGCAGAAATAAAGATGTTCCTTGAAACTAACGAGAACAAAAACACAACATACCAGAATCTCTGGGACACATTCAAAGCACTGTGTAGAGGGAAATTTATAGCACTACATGCCCACAAGAGAAAGCAGGAAAGATCCAAAATTGACACCCTAACATCACAATTAAAAGAACTAGAAAAGCAAGAGCAAACACATTCAAAAGCTAGGAGAAGGCAAGAAATAACTAAAATCAGAGCAGAACTGAAGGAAATAGAAACACAAAAAACCCTTCAAAAAATTAACGAATCCAGGAACTGGTTTTTTGAAAGTATCATCAAAATCGACAGACTGCTAGCAAGACTAATAAAGAAAAAAAGAGAGAAGAATCAAATAGACACAATAAAAAATGATAAAGGGGATATCACAACCAATCCCACAGATATACAAACTACCATCAGAGAATACTACCAACACCTCTACGCAAATAAACTAGAAAATCTAGAAGAGATGGATAGATTCCTCGACATATAAACCCTCCAAAGACTAAACCAGGAAGAAGTTGAATCTCTGAATAGGACAATAACAGGAGCTGATATTGTGGCAATAATTAATACCTTACCAACCAAAAAGAGTCCAGGACCAGGTGGACTCACAGCTGAATTCTACCAGGGGTACAAGGAAGAACTGGTACCATTCCTTCTGAAACTATTCCAATCAATAGAAAAAGAGGGAATCCTCCCTAACTCATTTTATGAGGCCAGCATCATCCTGATACCAAAGCTGGGTAGAGACACAACCAAAAAAGAGAATTTTAGACCAATATCCTTGATGAACATTGATGCAAAAATCCTCAATAAAATAATGGCAAACTGAATCCAGCAGCACATCAAAAAGCTTATGCACCATGATCAAGTGGGCTTCATCCCTGGGATGCAAGGCTGGTTCAATATATGCAAATCAATAAATGTAATCCAGCATATAAACAGAACCAAAGACAAAAACCACATGATTATCTCAATAGATGCAGAAAAGGCTTTGACAAAATTCAACAACCCTTCATGCTAAAAACTCTCAATAAATTAGGTATTGATGGCACCTATCTCAAAATAATAAGAGGCATCTATCACAAACCAACAAATAATATCATACTGAATGGGCAAAAACAGGAAGCATTCCCTTTGAAAACTGGCACAACACAGGGATGCCCTCTCTCACCACTCCTATTCAACATAGTGTTGGAGGTTCTGGCCAGGGCAATTAGGCAGGAGAAGGAAATAAAGGGTATTCAATTAGGAAAAGAGGAAGTCAAATTGTCCCTGTTTGCAGACGACATGATTGTATATCTAGAAAACCCCATTGTCTCAGCCCAAAATCTCCTTAAGCTGATAAGCAACTTCAGCAAAGTCTCAGGATACAAAATCAATGTACAAAAATCACAAGCATTCTTATAAATCAACCACAGACAAACAGAGAGCCAAATCATGAATGAACTCCCATTCACAATTGCTTCAAAGAGAATAAAATATCTAGGAATCCAACTTACAAAGGATGTGAAGGACTTCTTCAAGGAGAAATACAAACCACTGCTCAATGAAATAAAAGAGGATACAAAGAAATGGAAGAACATTCCATGCTCATAGGTAGGAAGAATCAATATAGTGAAAATGGCCATACTGCCCAAGGTAATTTACAGATTCAGTGCCATCCCCATCAAGCTACCAATGCCTTTCTTCACAGAATTGGAAAAAAACTACTTTAAAGTTCACATGGAGCCAAAAAAGAGCCCACATCGTCAAGTCAATCCTGAGCCAAAAGAACAAAGCTGGAGACATCACACTACCTGACTTCAAACTATACTACAAGGCTACAGTAACCAAAACAGCATGGTACTGGTACCAAAACAGAGATACAGATCAATGGAACAGAACACAACCCTCAGAAATAACGCTACATATCTACAACTATCTGATCTTTGACAAACCTGAGAAAAACAAGCAATGGGGAAAGGATTCCCTATTCAATAAATGGTGCTGGGAAAACTGGCTAGCCATATGTAGAAAGCTGAAACTGGATCAATTCATTACACTTAATAGAAAAATCAATTCAAGATGGATTAAAGACTTAAAGGTTAGACCTAAAACCATAAAAACCCTAGAAGAAAACCTAGGCATTACCATTCAGGACATAGGCATGGGCAAGGACTTCATGTCTAAAACATGAAAAGCAATGGCAGCAAAAGCCAAAATTGACAAGTGGGATCTAATCCAACTAAAGAGCTTCTGCACAGCAAAAGAAACTACCATCAGAGTGAACAGGCAACCTACAAAATGGGAGAAAATTTTCGCAACCCACTCATCTGACAAAGGGCTAATATCCAGAATCTACAATGAATTCAAACAAATTTACAAGAAAAAAACAAACAACCCCATCAAAAAGTGGGCAAAGGACATGAACAGACACTTCTCAAAGGAGACATTTATGCAGCCAAAAAACACATGAAAAAATGCTCAACATCACTGGCCATCACAAAAATGCAAATCAAAACCACAATGAGATACCATCTCACACCAGTTATAATGGCAATCACCAAAAAGTCAGGAACAACAGGTTCTGGAGAGGATGTGGAGAAATAGGAACACTTTTACATTGTTGGTGGGACTGTCAACTAGTTCAACCATTGTGGAAGTCAGTGTGGCGATTCCTCAGGGATCTAGAACTAGAAACACCATTTGACCCAGCCATCCCATTACTGGGTATATGCCCAAAGGACTATAAATCATGCCGCTATAAAGACACATGCACACGTATGTTTATTGTGGCATTATTCACAATAGGAAAGACTTGGAACCAATCCAAATGTCCAACAGTGATACACTGGATTAAGAAAATGTGGCACATATATACCATGGAATACTATGAAGCCATAAAAAATGATGAGTTCATGTCCTTTGTAGGGACACGGATGAAATTGGAAATCATCATTCTCAGTAAACTATCTCAAGAACAAAAAACCAAACACCACATATTCTCACTCATAGGTGGGAATTGAACAATGAGAACACATGGACACAGGAAGGGGAACATCACACTCTGGGGACTGCTGTAGGGTGGGAGTAAGGGTGAGGGATAGCATTGGGAGATATACCTAATGCTAGATGACGAGTTAGTGGGTGCAGCACACCGGCATGGCAGATGTATACATATGTAGCTAACCTGCACATTGTGCACATGTACCCTAAAACTTAAAGTATAATAATAATAAAAAAAAGAAAAGAAAATATCTTCACATGAAAACTACACAGAAGCATTCTCAGAAACTTCTTTGCGAAGTGGGCATTCAACTCACAGATTTGAAACTATCTTTTGATAGAGCAGTTTTGAAACTCTTTTTGTAGAATCTGCAATTGTATATTTGGAGCTCTTTGCAGCCCATGGTGGAAAAAGAAATATCTTCACATAAAAACTACACAGAATAATTCTGAGAAACTTCTTTCTGATGTGTGCATTCATCTCACAGAGTTGAATCTCTCTTTTCATTGCACAGTTTGGAAACACTCTTTTTGTACAATCTGCAAATGGATATTGGCACGCTTTGTGGTCTACTGTGGAAAAGGAAATATCTTCCCATAAAAAAACACAGAAGCATTCTGAGAATCTTCTTTGTGATGTGTACATTCAGCTCACAGAGATGAATCTTTCTTTTTATTGAGCAGTTTTGAAACACTCTTTTCATAATAAATGCAAGTGGATATTTGCAGGGCTTTGAGGACTAACATTGAAAAGGAAATATCTTCACATAAAAACTACACAGAAGCATTCTCAGAAACTTCTTTGTGATGTGTGCATTCGTTCCACAGAGTTAAACTTATCTTTTGATAGAGCAGTTTTAAAACTCTCTTTTTGTAGAATCTGCAAGTGGATATTTGGAGATCATTGTGGCCTATGGTGGAAAAGGAATTATCTTCACAAAAAACTACACAGAAGCATTCTGAGAAACTTCTTTGGATGTGTGCATTCATCTCACAGAGCTGAACCTTTCTTTTGATTGAGCACTTCTGAAACACTCTTTTTGTAGAATCTGCAAGTGGAGATTTGTAGCGCTTTGAGGCCTATGGTGTAAAAGGAAATATCTTCACATAAAAACTACAAAGAAGCATGATGAGAAACTTCTTTCTCATGTGTACATTCATCTCACGGAGTTGAACGTATCTCTTGGTAGAGCGGTTTTGAACCTCTCAAGTTGTAAAATCTGCAAGTGGATATTTAGAGCTCTTTGCCGCCTATGGTGGAAAAAGAAATATGTTCACATAAAAACTACAAGGAAGCATTCTGAGAAACTATTTTGTGTTGTGTATATTCATCTCACAGTGTTGAAACTATATGTTGATAGAGCAGTTTTGAAACTCTCTTTTTGTAGAATCTCCATGTGGATATTTGGAGCCCTTTGTGGCCTATGGTGGAAAAGGTAATACCTTTACATAAAAACCAACCAAGAGCAATCTGAGAAATTTCTTTGTGATGTGTGTATTAACCTCACAGAGTTTAACTTGTCTTTTGATTGAGCAGTTTGGAAACACTCTTTTTGTGAGATCTGCAATTGGATATTTGGAGCCCTTTGCAGCCTATAGTGGAAAAGGAAATATCTTCATATAAAAACTACACAGAAGCATTCTGAGAAACTTCTTTGTGATGAGTGCATTCATCTCTCAGAGTTGAACCTTTCTTTTGATTGAGCAGTTATGATAAACTCTTTTAGTGGATTCTGCAAGTGCATATTTTGAGCCCATGGAGGCCTATGGTGGAAAAGGAAATATTTTCACAGAAAAACTACACAGAGGCGTTCTGAGAAACTTCTTTGTGATGTGTACATTCAACTCACAGACTTGAACACTTCGTTTGATTTAGCAGTTTGGAAACACCCTTTTTGTAGAATCTGCAAGTGGATATTTGGAGTGCTTTGAGGCCTATTATGGGAAAGTAAATATCTTCCCATAAAAACTACACAGAAGAACTCTGAGAAACTTCTTTGTAATGTGTGCATTCATCTGACAAAGGTGAACTTTCTTTTGATTGAGCAGTTTTGAAACACTCTTTTCATAAAATCTGCAAGTGGATATTTGGATCGTTTTGAGGCCTATGGTGGAAAAGGAAATATCTTCACATAAAAACTAGAGAGAAGCATTCTGAGAAACTTCTTCATGATGTGTGCATTCAACTCACAGAATTGAATCTATCTTTTGATAGAGTAGTTTTGAATGTCTCCTTTTGTAGAATCTGCAAGTGGACATTTGGAGCCCTTTGAAGCCTATGGTGGAAAAGGAAATATCTTCCCATAAAAACTTCACAGAGGAATTTTGAGAAACTTCTTTGTGATGTGTGCATTCAACTGACAGAGTTGAATATATCTTTTGATAGAGCAGTTTTGAAATCCTCTGGTTGTAGAATCTGCAAGTGGTAGTTGGAGCACATTGTGGCCGGTGTTGGAAAAGGAAATATCTTCACATCAAAACTACACAGAAGCATTCTGAGAAACTTCCTTGTGATGTGTACATTCACCTCACAGAGTTGAAACTATCATTTGATAGAGCAGCTTTGAATCTCCCTTTTTGTAGAATCTCAAAGGGGATATTTGGAGACCTTTGAGGCCTACTGTGGAAAAGGAAATATCTTCACATGAAAACTACACAGAAGCATTCTGCGAAACTTCTTTTTCATGTATGCATTCATCTCACAGAGTTGAAACTATCTTTTGATTGAGCAGTTTTGAAACACTGTTTTCATAGAATCTGCAAGTGGATATTTGGAGCGCTTTGAGGCCTATGGTGGAAAAGGAAATATCTTCATATAAAAACTGCAGGGAAGCATTCTGAGAAACTTCTTTGTTATGTGTGCATTCAACTCACAGATTTGAACCTATCTTTTGATAGAGCAGTTTGAAACTTTCTTTTTGTAGAATCTACAAGAGTTTATTTGGAGGCATTTGTGGCCGATGGTGGAAAAGGAAATACCTTCCCATAAAAAATTCACAGAAGCATTCTGAGAAACTCCTTTGTGATGTGTGCATTAAACTCAAAGTGTTGAACACTTCATTTGATTGAGAAGTTTTGAAACACTCTTTTTGTAGAATCTGAAAGTGGATATTTGGAGCCCTTTGCGGCCTATGGTGTCAAGGGAAATATCTTCACATAAAAACTACACAGAAGCATTCTGAGAAAATTGTCTGTGAAGTGTGCATTCATCACACAGAGTTGAACGTATCTTTTGGTAGAACAGTTATGAAACAGTCTTTAAGCAGAATCTACAAGTGGATATTTGGAGCTCTTGGGGAATATGGTGCAAAAGGAAATATCTTCCCATAAAATCTACACAGAAGCATTCTGAGAAACTTCTTTGTGGTGTGTGCATTGATCTCACAGTGTTGAACACTTCATTTGATTGAGAAGTTTGTAAACTAACTTTTTGTAGAATCTGCAAGTGGATATTGGGAGCCCTTGGAGGCCTATGGTGGAAAAAGAAATATCTTCACATAAAAACTACGCAGAATAATTCTGAGAAACTTCTTTGTGATGTGTGCATTCATCTCACAGAGTTGAACATTTCATTTGATTGAGCAGTTTTGAAACACTGTTTTTGTAGAATCTGCAATTAAATATTTGGAGTGCTTTGAGGCCTATTGTGCAAAAGGAAATATCTTCACAAACATACTGCACAGAAGCATTCTCTGAAACTTCTTTGTGATGTGTGCATTCATCTCACAGAGATGAACCTATCTTTTGATTTAGCAGTTTTGAAACTGTCTTTTTGTAGAACCTTCAAGTGGATATTTGGAGCACTTTGAAGCCTATTGTGGAAAAAGAAATATCTTCACATAAAAACTACACAGACGCATTCTCAGAAACTTCTTTGTGATGTGTGCATTCATCTCGCAGTGGTGAACCTATGTGTTGATTGAGCAGTTTTGAAACATCCTTTTCGTAGAATCTGCAATTGGATATTTGGAGCTCTTTGAGGCCTGTGGTGGAAAATAAAACATCTTCCCACAAAAACAACACAGAAGCATTCTGAGAAACTTCTTTGTGATGTGTGCATTCATCTCACAGAGTTGAACCTTTCTTTTGATTGAGCAGTTGTGAAATATTCTTTTCGTAGAATCTGCAAGTGGATATTTGGAGGGCTTTGAGGCTTATGGTGGAAAAGGGAATATCTTCACATAAAAACTACACCAAAGAATTCTGAGAAACTTCTTTGTGATATGTGCATTCAGCTCGCAGAGTTCAACCTATCTTTTGATAGAGGAGTTGGGAGACTCTCTTTTTGAAGAATTTGCAAATGGATATTTGGAGCCCTTTGTGGCCTATGGTGGAAAAGGAAATATCCCCACATAAAAACTACATGGAAGCATTCTGAGAAACTGCTTTCTGATGTGTGCATTCATCTCACAGAGTTGAACATTTCTTTTGATTGAACAGTTTTGTAACACTCTTTTTGTAGAATCTACAAGTGGAGATTTGGAGCAGTTTGAGTCCGATGGTGGAAAAGAAAATATCTTCACATAAAAACTAGACATATGCATTCTGAGAAACTTCTTTGTGATGTGAGCATTGAACTCCCAGAGTTGAACCTATATTTGATAGAGCAGCTTTGAAACTAATTTTTTGTAGAATCTGCAAGTGGATATTTGGAGCCCTTTGCAGCCTATGGTGGAAAGGGAAATATCTTCATATAAAAATTAGACAGAAGTATTCTCAGAAAATTCTTTGTGATATGTGCATTCAACTCACAGAGTTCAAACTTTCTTTTGATAGAGCAGATTTGAAACAATCTTTTTGAAGAAACTGCAAGTGGATATTTGGAGCGCTTTGAGGCCTATGGTGGGAGAGGAAATATCTTCCCAGAAAAAGTAAACAGAAGCATTCTCAGAAACTTCTTTGTGACGTGTTTATTCAACTCACAGAGTTGAACTTTCTTTTGCTTGAGCAGTTTTGAATCACTCTTTTTGTAGAATCTGCACGTGGATGTTTGGAGCGTTTTGACGTGTAAGGTAAAAAATGATTTATCTTCACATAAAAAATAGACAGAAGCATTCTGAGAAACTACTTTGTGATGTGTGCATTAAACTCATGGAGGTGAACCTTTCTTTTGATAGAGTAGTTTTGAAACACTCTTTTAGTAGAATCTGCAAGTGGATACTTGGAGCGTTTTGAGGCCTAAGGTGGAAAAGGAAATATGTTCATATAAAAACTACACAGAAGCATTCTCAGGAACTTCTTCGTGATGTGTGCATTCAACTCACTGAGTTGTACGTTTCTTTTGATAGAGCAGTTTTGAAACACTCTTTTTGTAGAATCTACAAGCGGATATTTGGAGCAATTTGTGGCCTATATTGGAAAAGGAAATATCTTCACATAAAAAGTAGACAGAAACATTCTCAGAAACTTCTTTGTGATGTGTGCTTTAAACTCAAAGAGTTGAACATTTCCTTTGATTGAACAGTTTTAAATCACTCTTTTTGTAGAAACTACAAGTAGATATTTGGAGCGCATTGAGGCTTATGGTGGAAAAAGAAATATCTTCCCATAAAAAGTAGACAGAAGCATTCTCAGAAACTTCTTTGCGATGTGTGCTTTCAACTCAAAGAGTTGAACATTTCCTTTGATTGAGCAGTTTTAAATCACTCTTTTTGTAGAATCTACAAGTAGATATTTGGAACGCATTGAGGCTTATGGTGGAAAAAGAAATATCTTCCCATAAAAAGTAGATAGAAGCATTCTCAGAAACTTCTTTGTGATATGTGCATTCAGCTCACAGAGTTGAACCTTTGTTTTGATAGAGCAGATTTGAAACACTCTTTTTGTATTATTTGCAACTGGATATTTTGAGTGCTTTGAGGCATATGGTGGAGAAGTAAATATCTTCCATAAAAACTAGACAGAAACATTCTCAGAAACTTCCTTGTGATCTGTGCATTCAACCCACACAGTTGAACTTTTCCTTTGATTGAGCAGTTTTGAAAGACCCTTTTTGAAGAATCTGCAAGTGGATATATGGAGCACCTTTTGATATATGGTGGAAAAGGAAATATCTTCCCATAAAAACTAGACAGAAGCATTCTCAGAAACTTCTTTGTGATGTGTGTGTTAAATTCACTGAGTTGGACCTTTCTTTTGTTAGAGCAGTTTTCAAACACTCTCTTTATAGAATCTAGAAGTGGATATTTGGAGCACTTGGAGGTCTATATTGGAAAAGGGAATATCTTCACATAAAAACTAGACAGAAGCATTCTCAGAAACTTCTTTGTGATGTGTGCATTCAACTTAAAGAGTTCAACATTTCTTTTGATTGAGCAGTTTTAAATCAGTCTTTCTGTAGTATCTGCAAGTAGATATGTGAAGCACATTGAGGCTTATCATGGAAAAGGAAATATCTTCCAATGAAAATTAGACAGAAGCATTCTCAGAAACTTCTTTTTGATATGTGCATTCAACTCACAGAGTTAAACCTTTCTTTTGAGAAAGTAGATTTGAAACACTCTTTTTGTATTATTTGCAAGTGTATAGTTTGAGCACTTTGATGCCTATGGTGGAGAAGGTGATATCTTCCCATAAAAAGTAGACAGAAGCATTCTCAGAAACTTCTTTGTGATCTGTGAATTCAACTCAGAGAGTTGAACCTTTCCTTTGAAAGAGCAGTTTTGAATCACTCTTTTTGTAGTATCTGCACGTAGATATTCAGAGCACTTTGAGGCCTCTGGTGGAAAAGGAAATATCTTCCCATAAGAACTAGACAGAATCATTCTCAGAAACTTCTTTGTGATGTGTGCATTCAGCTCACAAAATTGAACGTTTCTTTCAATACAGCAGTTTTGAAACACTCTTTTTGTAGAATCTGCAAGTGCATATTTGGAGCGTTTTGAGGCCTACATTGGAAAAGGAAATATTTTCACATAAAAAGTAGACAGAAGCATTCCCACAAACTTCTTTCTGATGTGTGCATTCAACTCACAGTGTTGAACGTTTCTTTCATTGGAGCAGTTTTGAAACACACTTTTTGTAGAATCTGCAAGTGGATGTTTGGAGCACTTTGAGGCCTATGGTGGGAAAGGAAATATCTTCACATGAAAACTGGACAGAAGCATTCTCAGAAACTTCTTTCTGATAAGTGCATTCAACTCACAGAGTTGAACTTTTCTTTTCATAGAGTAGTTATGAAACACTCTTTTTGTAGGATCTGCAAGTACATATTTGGAGCGCTTTGAGGCCTTAGGTGGAAAAGAAAATATCTTCACATAAAACTAGATGGAAGCATTCTCCGAAATTTTTTGTGAAGTGTGCATTCAACTCACAGAGATGAAGCTTTCTTTTGATGGAGCAGTTTTCAAACAATCTTTTAGTACATCTGCAAGTGGATATTTGGAGCGCTTTGAGGCCTATGGTGGAAAAGGAAATATCTTCACATAAAAACTAGACAAAAGCATTCTCAGAAACTTCTTTGTGATGTGTGCATTCAACTCAGAGTTGAACATTTCTTTTGATTGAGCAGTTTTGAAAAAATCTTTTTGTAGAAAGTGCAAGTGGATGTTTGGAGCACCTTGTGGCCTATGGTGGAAAAGGAAATATCTTCACATAAAAACTAGACAGAAGCATTCTCAGAAAATTCTTTGTGATGTGTGCATTCAACTCAGAGAGTTGAACATTTCTTTTGATTGAGCAGTTTTGAAACACTCTTTTTGTAGAATGTGCAAGTGGATATTTGGAGCGCTTTGAGGCCTATGGTGGAAAAGGAAATATCTTCACATAAAAACTAGGCAGAAGCATTCTCAGTAACTTCTTTGAGATGTGTGCCTTCAACACACTGAGTTGAACATTTCTTTTGAAAGAGCACTTTTGAAACACTCTTTTTGTGGAACCTGCAGTTGCATATTTGGAGCACTTTGAGGCCTATATTCAAAAATATATATCTTCAAATAAAAACTAGACAGAAGCATTCTCAGAGACTTCTTTGTGGTATCTGCATTCAACTCGCAGTGTTCAACCTTTCTTTTGATTGATGAGTTTTGAAACCCTCTTTTTGTAGAAAATTCAAGTGGATATTTGGAGTGCTTTGAGGCCTATGGTGAATTAGGAAATGTGTTCCCATAAAAACTAGACGGAAGCATTCTCAGAAACTTCTTTGTGATGTGTGAATTCAACTCATGGAGTTGAAACTTTCCTTTCATTGAGCAGTTTTGAAACACCCTTTTTGAAGAAACTGCAGGTGGATATTTGGAGTGCTTTGGGTCCTATGTTGGAAAAGGAAATATCTTCACATAAAAACAAGACTGAAGAATGCTCCAAAACTTCTTTGTGAAGTGTGCATTCAACTCACTGAGTTGAACATATCTTTTGATAGAATAATTTTGAATCACTCTTTTTGCAGAATATGCAAGTGATTATTTGGAGCACTTCGACACCTATATTGGAAAAGGAAATATCTTCACATAAAAACTAGACAGCATCATTCTCAGAAACTTATTTGTCATGTGTGCATTCAACTCATGGATTCGAACCATTCTTTAGATGAACAGTTTTGAAAGACTATTTAGAATCGGCAAGTGGATGTTTGAAGTGCTTTGACCCCTATCGTGGAAAAGGGAATATCTTCACATAAAAACTAGACAGAAGCATTCTCAGAAACTTCTTTGTATCTATGCATTCATCTCTCAGAGTTGAACCTTTCCTTTGAGCAGTTTTGAAGCACTCTTTTTGAAGAATCTGCAAATGGGTATTTGGAGGGCTTTGAGGCCTATGGTGGAAAAGGAAATATCTTCACATAAAAACTAGACAGAAGAATTCTCAGAAACTTCTTTGTGATCTGTGCATTCTACTCACAGAGTTGAAACTTTCTTTTGATTGAGCAGTTTTGAAACACTCTTCTTGTAGAATCCGCAAGTCGATATTTGGAGCGCTTTGAGGTCTATGGTGGAAAAGGAAATATCTTCACATAAAAACTGCACAGAAGCATGCTCAGAAACTACCTTCTGATGTGTGCATTCAACTCACTGAGTTGAACTTTTCCTTTGATAGAGCACTTTTTAAACAACCTTTTTGTATTTTCTGCAAGTGGATATTTGAAGGGCTTTGAGGCCAATGGTGGAAAAGGAAAAATCGTTCCATAAAAACTAGACAGAAGCATTCTCGAAAACCTCGTTGTCATGTGTGCATTCAACTCACAGAATTGAACATTTCTTTTGATTGAGCAGTTTTGAAACACACTTTTTTAAAATCTGTAAGTGGATATTTGGAGCACCTTGAGGCCTATGGTGGAAAAAAAAATATCTTCACATAAAAACCAGACAGAAGCATTCCAAGAAACTTTTTTGTGTTGTGTGTGTTCAACTCAGAGTTGAACCTTTCTTTTGATAGAGGAGCTTTGAAACACTCTTTTTGTACCATCTGCAAAGGAATATTTGGAGCACCTTGGGTCCTATATTGGAAAAAGGAAATATCTTCAGATAAAACTAGACAGAAGCATTCTCAGAAACTTTTTGTTATGTTTGCTTTCAACTCACAGAGTTGAACATACCTTTTCATAGAGCCATTTTGAAACACTCATTTTATGAGGCCAGCATCATCCTGATACCAAAGCCAGGCAGAGACACAACCAAAAGAGAGAATTTTAGACCAATATCTTTGATGAACATTGATGCAAAAATCCTCAATAAAATACTGGCAAACCGAATCCAGCAGCACATCTAAAAGCTTATCCACCATGATCAAGTGGGCTTCATCCCTGGGATGCAAGGCTGGTTCAATATACACAAATCAATAAATGTAATCCAGCATATAAACAGAACCAAAGAGAAAAACCACATGATTATCTCAATAGATGCAGAAAAGGCTTTGACAAAATTCAACATCCCTTCATGCTAAAAACTCTCAAAAAATTAGGTATTGATGGGACGCATTTCAAAATAATAAGAGCTATCTATGACAAACCCACAGCCAATATCATACTGAATGGGCAAAAACGGGAAGCATTCCCTTTGAAAACTGGCACAAGACAGGGATGTCCTCTCTCACCGCTCCTATTGAACATAGTGTTGGAAGTTCTGGCCAGGGCAATCAGGCAGGAGAAGGAAATAAAGGGTATTCAATTAGGAAAAGAGGAAGTCAAATTGTCCCTGTTTGCAGACGACACAATTGTATATCTAGAAAACCCCATTGTCTCAGCCCAAAATCTCCTTAAGCTGATAAGCAACATCAGCAAAGTCTCAGGATACAAAATCAATGTACAAAAATCACAAGCATTCTTATACATCAACAACAGACAAACAGAGAGCCAAATCATGAGTGAACTCCCATTCAAAATTGCTTCAAAGGAATAAAATTCCTAGGAATCCAACTTACAAGGGATGTGAAGGACATCTTCAAGGAGAACTACAAACCACTGCTCAAGGAAATAAAAGAGGGTACAAAGAAATGGAAGAACATTCCATGCTCATGGGTAGGAAGAATAAATATCGTGAAAATGGCCATACTGCCCAAGGTAATTTATAGATTCAATGCCATCCCCATCAAGCTACCAATGACTTTCTTCACAGAATTAGAAAAAAACTATTTGAAGTTCATATGGAACCAAAAAGGAGCCCGCATTGCCAAGTCAATCCTGAGCCAAAAGAACAAAGCTGGAGGCATCACACTACCTGACTTCAAACTATACTACAAGGCTACAGTAACCAAAACAGCATGGTACTGGTACCAAAACAGAGATATAGATCAATGGAACAGAACAGAGCCCTCAGAAATAATGCCACATATCTACAACTATCTGATCTTTGACCAACCTGAGAAAAACAAGCAATGATGAAAGGATTCCCTATTCAATAAATGGTGCTGGGAAAACTGGCTAGCCATATGTAGAAAGCAGAAACTGGATCCCTTCCTTACACATTATACAAAAATCAATTCAAGATGGATTAAAGACTTAAAGGTTAGACTTAAAACCATAAACAGCCTAGAAGAAAACCTAGGCAATACCATTCAGGACATAGGCATGGGCAAGGACTTCATGTCTAAAACACCAAAAGCAATGGCAACAAAAGCCAAAATTGACAAATGGGATCTAATCCAACTAAAGATCTTCTGCACAGCAAAATAAACTACCATCAGAGTGAACAGGCAACCTACAAAATGGGAGAAAATTTTCACAACCGACTCATCTGACAAAGGGCTAATATCCCGAATCTACAATGAACTCAAACAAATTTACAAGAAAAAAAACAAACAACCCCATTAAAAAGTGGGTGAAGGACATGAACAGACACTTCTCAAAAGAACACATTTATGCAGCCAAAAAAGACACATGAAAAAATGCTCGTCATCACTGGCCATCAGAGAAATGCAAATCAAAACCACAATGAGATACCATCTCTCACCAGTTAGAATGGCTATCACTAAAAAGGAAACAACAGGTGCTGGAGAGGATGTGGAGAAATAGGAACACTTTTACACTGTTGATGGGACTGTAACCTAGTTCAACCATTGTGGAAGTCGGTGTGGGGATTCCTCAGGGATCTAGAACTAGAAATACCATTTGACCCAGCCATCCCATTACTGGGTATATACCCAAAGGACTATAAATCATGCTGCTATAAAGACACATGCACACGTATGTTTATTGTGGCATTATTCACAATAGCAAAGACTTGGAACCAACCCAAATATCCAACAATGATAGACTGGATTAAGAAAATGTGGCACATATACACCATGGAATACTATGCAGCCATAAAAAATGATGAGTTCATGTCTTTTGTAGGGACATGGATGAAATTGGAAATCATCATTCTCAGTAAACTATTGCAAGAACAAAAAACCAAACACTGCATATTCTCACTCATAAGTGGGAATTGAAAAATGAGAACACATGGACACAGGAAGGGGAACATCACACTCTGGGGACTGTTGTGGGGTGAGGGGGTGGGAGGGATAGCATTGGGAGATATACTTAATGCTGGATGACGAGTTATTGGGTGCAGCGCACCAGCATGACACATGTATGCACATGTAACTAACCTGCACATTGTGTACATGTACCCTAAATCTTAAAGTATAATAATAATGAATAAATAAAAAAAAAAAAAAAGAAACACTCTTTTTGTAGAATCTGCAAGTGGATATTTGGAATGCTTTGAGGCCTATGGTGGAAAAGGAAATATCTTCTTATGAAAATTAGACAGAAGCATTCTCTGAAACTTCTTTGTATGTGTGCATTCAACTCAGAGTTGATCCTTTCCTTTGACTGAGCTAGTTTTGAATCATTCTTTTTGTAGAATCTGCAAGTGGATATTTGGATCGCTATGAGGCCTATAGTGGAAAAGGAAATACCTTCCCATAAAAACTAGACAGAAGCATTATCAGAAACCTCTTTCTGATGTGTGCATTCAACTCGCAGAGTTGAACCGTTCTTTTGATAGAGCAGTTTTGAAACACTCTTTTTGTAGAATCTGCAAGTGGATATTGGGAGCGCTTTGAGCCCTACGGTGGAAAAGCAAATATCGTCCGATACAATCTAGACAGAAGCATTCTCAGAAAGTTCTTTGTGATGTGTGCATTCCACTCATATAGTTGACCCTTTCTTTTGATAAAGCAGTTTTGAAACACTCTTTTTGAAGAATCTGCAAGTGGATATTCGGAGTGCTTTGAGGCCTATGGTGGAAAAGGAAATATCTTCACAAAAAAACTAGAGAGAAGCATTCTCAGAAACTTCTTTTTGATGTGTGCATTCAGCTCACAGAGTTGAACATTTCTTTGGATTGATCAGTTTTGAATCACTCTTTTTGTAGAATCTCCAGTTGGGTATTTGGAGCACTTTGAGGACTATGGTGGAAAAGGAAATATCTTCCCATAAAAACTAGACAGAAGCATTCTTAGAAACTTCTTTGTGATTTGTGCATTCAACTCACAGACTTGAAGCTTCTTTTGATAGAACAGTTTTGAAACACTCTTTTTGTAGAATCTGACACTGGATATTTGGAGCACTTTGAGGCCTATAGTGGAAAAGGAAATATCCTCCCATAAAAACTAGACAGAAGCATTCTCAGAGACTTCTTTGTAATGTGTGCATTCAAATCACAGAGTTGAACCTTTCTTTTGATTGAGCAGTTTTGAAACACTCTTTTCGTAGAATCTGCAAGTGGATATTTGGAGCACTTTGAGGCCTACAGTGGAAAGGGAAATATCTTCCCATTAAAACTAAAG
Organism: Homo sapiens; assembly: GCF_000001405.40. Classification (NCBI taxonomy): domain Eukaryota; kingdom Metazoa; phylum Chordata; class Mammalia; order Primates; family Hominidae; genus Homo; species Homo sapiens. The sequence goes on along the minus strand of NC_000010.11, from coordinate 39,433,519 downwards.
AGAAGCATTCTCAGAAACTTATTTGTGATGTGTGCATTCAAATCACAGAGTTGAACTTTTCTTTTGATAGAACAGTGTTGAAACACTCTTTGTAGAATCTGCAAGTTGATATTTGGAGTGTTTGAGGCCTATGATGCAGATGGTAATATCTTCCCCTAAAAACTAGAGAGAAGCATTCTCAGAAACTTCTTTGTGATGTGTGCATTCAACTCACAGAGTTGAACGTTTCTTTCGATAGAGCAATTTTGAAACACTCTTTTTGTAGAATCTGCAAGTGGATATTTTTGAGTGCTTTGAGGCCTATAATGGAAAAGGAAATGTCTTCACTGAAAAACTAGACACAAGCATTTTCAGAAACTTCTTTTTGATGTGTGCATTCAACTCACAGAGTTGACCCTTTCTTTTGATAGAGCAGTTTTGAAACACTCTTTTTGTAGAATCTGCAAGTGGATATTTGCATCGTTTTGAGGCCTATGGTAGAAAAAGAAATATCTTCACATAAAAACTAGACAGTAGCATTCTCAGAAACTTCTTTGTGATGTGTGCATTCATCTCACACAGGTGAACATTTCTTTTGATGGAGCAGTTTTGAAACCCTCTTTTTGTAGAATCTGCAAGTGGATATTTGGAGCACTCTGTGTCCTAATTTGGAAAAGGAAATATCTTCACATAAAAACTAGACAGAAACATTCCAGAAACTTCTTTGTGATGTGTGCTTTCAAATAAAAGTGTTGAAAATTTCTTTTGATGCAGCAGTTTTGAAACCCTCTTTTTGTAGAATCTGCAAGTGAATATTTGGAGAGCTTTGAGGCCTATGGTGGAAGAGGGAATATCTTCCCATAAAAACTAGACAGAAACTTTCTCATAAACTTCTTTGTGATGTGTGCATTCAACTACAGTGCTTAAACTTTCTTTTGATAGAGCAGTTTTGAAACACTCTTTTTGTTGAATCAGGAAGTGGATAGTTGGAGTGCTTTGAGGCCTATGGTGGAAAAGGAAATATCTTTATATGAAAAATACACAGTAACATTCTGATAAACTTCTTTGTGATGTGTGCATTCAACTCACTGACTTGAACCTACCTTTTGCAAGTGTAGTTTTGAAACTCTCTTTTTGTAGAATCTGGAAGTGTATATTCGGAGCCCTTTGTGGCCTAGGTTGGAAATGAAAATATCTTCCCTTAATAACTACACAGAAGCATTGTGAGAAACTTCTTTGTGATATGTGCATTCATCTCACAGAGTTGAACCTTACTTTTAATTGGGCAGTGTGGAAACCACTTTTTGTAAATCTGCAAGTGGATATTTGGAGCGCTTTTAGGCCTATTGTGCAAAAGGAAATATCTTCACATAAAACCTACACAGAAGCATTCTGAGAGACTTCTTTGGGATGTGTGCATTCATCTCACAGAGTCGAACCTTTGTTTTGTTTGAACAGCTTTGAAACACTCTTTTCATAGAATCTGCAAGTGGATACTTGGAGCCCTTTGAGGACTATGGTGGAAAAGGAAATATCATCACATAAAAACTACACAGAAGCATTCAGAGAAACTTCGTTGTGATGTGTGCATTCATCTCACACAGTTGAAACTTTCTTTTGAATGGGCAGTATTGAAACACTCTTTTTGTAGAATCTGCAATTGGATATTGGGCACGCTTTGAAGCCTATTGTGGAAAAGGAAATATCTTCACATAAAAACTACACAGAAGCATTACCAGAAACTACTTTGTGATGTGTGCATTCAACTCACAGAGTTGAACCTATCTTTTCATAGTGCAGTTTTGAAACTCTCTTTTTGTAATATGTACATGTGGATATCTGGAGCCCTTTGCTGCCTACGGTGGAAAAGGAAATAGCTTCACATAAAAACTAGACAGAAGCATTCTCAGAAACTTCTTTGTGATGTGTGCATTCTTCTCACAGCTGTGAACCTCTCTTTTGACTGCGCAGTTTTGCAACACTCTTTTTGTAGAATCTGCAAATGGATATTTGGAGTGCTATGAGGCCTATTGTAGAAAAGGAAATATCTTCATATATAAACTACACAGAAGCATTCAGAGAAACTTTTTTGTGATGTGTGCATTCATCTCACAGAGTTGAACATTTCTTTTGATGGAGCAGTTTTGAAACACTCTTTTCGTATAAGGAAATATCTTCATATAAAAACTACACAGAAACATTATGAAAAATGGAACTGCAACTGGATATTGGAGCCCTTTTAGTCCTATGGTGGAAAAGGAAATGTCTTCACCTAAAGACTACATAGAAGCATTCTGAGAAACTTCTTTGTGATGTGTGCATTCATCTCACAGAGTTGAACGTATCTTTTGATAGAGCAGTTTGAACCTCTCTTTTTGTAGAATCTGCAAGTGGATATTTGGAGCACTTTGAGTCCTATGGTGGAAAAGGAAATATCTTCACCTAAAAACTAACAGAAACATCCTAAGACACTTGTTTGTGATGTGTGCATTAATCTCACAGATTTAACCCTACCTTTTCTTTTCTTTTTCTTTTTATTATTATTATTACACTTTAAGATTTAGGGTACATGTGCACAATGTGCAGGTTAGCTACATATGTATACATGTGCTATGCTGGTGTGATGCACCCATTAACTCGTCATTTAGCATTAGGTATATCTCCTAAAGATATCCCTCACCCTCCCCCCACACCACAGCAGTCCCCAGAGTGTGATGTTCTCCTTCCTGTGTCCATGTGTTCTTATTGTTCAATTCCCACCTACGAGTGAGAATATGTGGTATTTTGTTTTTTGTTCTTGTGATACTTTACTGAGAATGATGATTTCCAATTTCATCCATGTTCCTACAAAGGACATGAACTCTACATTTTTTATGGCTGCATAGTATTCCATGGTGTTTATGTGCCACATTTTCTTAATCCAGTGTATCATTTTTGGACATTTGTGTGGGTTCCAAATATTTCCTATTGTGCATAGTGCCATAATAAACATACGGGTGCATGTGTCTTTATAGCAGCATGATTTATAGTCCTTTGCATATATACCCAGTAATGGGATGGCTGGGTCAAATGGTATTTCTAGTTCTATATCCCTAATGAATCGCCACACCGACTTCCACAGTGGTTGAACTAGTTTACAGTCCTACCAACAGTGTAAAAGTGTTCCTATTTCTCCGCATCCTCTCCAGCACCTGTTGTTTCCTGACTTTTTAATGATTGCCATTCTAACTGGTGAGAGATGGTATCTCATTGTGGTTTTGATTTGCATTTCTCTGGTAGCCCGTGATGGTGAGCATTTTTTCATGTGTCTTTTTTGGCTGCATAAATGTCTTCTTTGGAGAAGTGTCTGCCCATGTCCTTTGCCCATTTTTGGTTGGGGTTGTTTGTTTTTTTCTTGTAAATTTGATTGAGTTCATTGTATATTCTGGATATTAGCCCTTTGTCAGATGAGTGGGTTGAGAAAATTTTCTCCCATTTTGTAGGTTGCCTGTTCACTCTGATGGTAGTTTCTTTTGCTGTGCAGAAGCTCTTTAGTTTAATTAGATCCCATTTGTCAATTTTGTCTTTTGTTGCCATTGCTTTTGGTGTTTTAGACATGAAGTCCTTGCCCATGCCTATGTCCTGAATGGTAATGCCTAGGTTTTCTTCTAGGGTTTTTATTGTTTTAGGTCTAACGTTTAAGTATTTAATCCATCTTGAATTGATTTTTGTATAAGGTGTAACGAAGGGATCCAGTTTCAGCTTTCTACATATGGCTAGCCAGTTTTCCCAGCACCATTTATTAAATAGGGAATCCTTTCATCATTGCTTGTTTTTCTCAGGTTTGTCAAAGATCAGATAGTTTTAGATATGTGGCGTTATTTCTGAGGGCTCTGTTCTGTTCCATTGATCTATATCTCTATTTTGGTACCAGTACCATGCTGTTTTGGTTACTGTAGCCTTGTAGTATAGTTTGAAGTCAGGTAGTGTGATGCCTCCAGCTTTGTTCTTTTGGCTTAGGATTGATGTGGTGATGCAGGCTCTTTTTTGGTGCCATATGAACTTTAAAGTAGTTTTTTCTAATTCTGTGAAGAAAGCAATAGGTAGATTGATGGGTATGGCATTGAATCTATAAATTACCTTGGGCAGTATGGCCATTTTCACAATATTGATTCTTCCTACCCATAAGCATGGAATGTTCTTCTATTTGTTTGCCTCCTCTTTTATTTCATTGAGCAGTGGTTTGTAGTTCTCCTTGAAGACGTCCTTCATGTCCCTTTGAAGTTGGATTCCTAGGTATTTTATTCTGTTTGAAGCAATTGTGAGTGGGAGTTCACTAATGATTTGGCTCTCAGTTCCTCTGTAATTGGTGTATAAGAATGTTTGTGATTTTGTACATTGATTTTCTATCCTGAGACTTTGCTGCAGTTGATTATCAGCTTAAGGAGATTTGGGGCTGAGAGATTTGAGGCTGAGACAATGGGGTTTTCTGGATACACAATCATGTCATCTGTAAACAGGGACAATTTCACTTCCTCTTTTCCTAATTGAAAACCATTTATTTCCTCCTCCTGCCTAATTGCCCTGGCCAGAACTTCCAACACTATGTTGAATAGGAGTGGTGAGAGAGGGCATCCCTGTGTTGTGCCAGTTTTCAAAGGGAATGTTTCAGTTCTTGCCCATTCAGTATGATATTTGCTGTGGATTTGTCATACATAACTCCAGCATATAAACCGAACCAAAGACAAAAACTACATGATTATATCCATAGATGGAGAAAAGGCCTTTGACAAAATTCAACAAAACTTCATGCTAAAAACTCTCAATAAATTACGTATTGATGGGACCCTCTCTTTTGATTGAGCAGTTTGGAAACACTCTTTTTATAGAATCTGCAACTGGATATTTGGAGCGCTTTGAGGCCTACTGTGGAAAAGGAAATATCTTCACATAAAAACTACACAGAAGCATTCTGAGAAATTACTTTGTGATGTGTGCATTCATCTCACAGAGTTGAATCTTTCCTTTGATTGAGCAGTTTTGAATCACTCTTTTCATGGAATCTGCAAGTGGATATTTGGAGAGCTTTGAGGCCTATGGTGGAAAAGGAAATATCTTCACTTAAAAACTACACAGAAGCATTCTGAGAAACTTCTTTGTGATGTGTGCATACATCTCACAGAGTTGAAAGTATCTTTGGGTTGAGCAGTTTTGAAACTCTCTTTTTGTAGAACCTGCAAGTGGATATTTGGAGCCCTTTGCAGCCCATGGTGGAAAAGGAAATATCTTCACATAAGAACTACACAGAAGCATTCAGAGAAACTTCTTTGTGATGTGTTCATTCATCTCACAGGGTTGAACCTCTCTTTTGATTGAGCAGCTTGGAAACACTCTTTTTGTAAAATCTGTAAGTGGATATTTTGAGCACTTTGCAGCCTATGGTGGAAAAGGAAATATTTTCCCATAAAAACTACACAGAAGCATTCTGAGAAGCTTCTTTGTTTTGTCTGCATCCATCTCACAGAGTTGAAAATTTCTTTTCATTGAGCAGTTTAGAAACACTCTTTTCACAGAATCTGCATGGGGATATTTGGAGCACTTTCACTCCTATGGTGGAAAAGGAAATACCTTCACACAGAAACTACAAAGAAGGATTCTGAGAAACTACTTTGTGATGTGTGCATTCAACTCGCAGAGTTGAACCTATCACTTGATAGAAGAGTTTGAAACTCTCTTTTTGTAGAATCTGCAAGTGGTTATTTTGAGCCCTTTGTGGCCGGTGATGGAAAAGGAAATATCTTTCCATAAAAACTACACAGAAGCATTCTGAGAAACTTCTTTGTGATGTGTGCATTCATCTCAAAGAGTTGAACCTTTCATTTGACTGAGCAGTTTTGAAACACTTTCTATAGAATATGCAAGTAGACATTTTGAGCACTTTAAGGCCTATTGTGGAAAAGGAAATATCTTCATGTAAAAACTACACAGAAGCATTCTGAGAAACTTCTTTGTGATGTGTGCATTTATCTCACAGAGATGAAGATTTCTTTTGATTGAGCAGTTTTGAAACACTCTTTTTCTACAATGTGCAAGTGGATATTTGGAGCACTTTGAGGCCTATTGTGGAAAACGAAATATCTTCACATAAAAACTGCAAAGAAGCATTCTGGGAATCTTCCTTGTGATGTGTGCATTCATCTCACAGAGTTGAACATTTTCTTTGATTGAGCAGTTTTGAAATACTCTTTTTGTAGAATCTGCAAGTGGATATTTGGAAAGCTTTGAGGCCTATGGGGGAAAAGGAAATATTTTCACATAAAAACTACACAGAAGCATTCTGAGAAACTTCTTTGTGATGTGCACATATATCTCACAGAGTTGAATGTATTTTTTGATAGAGCAGTTTTGAAATTCTCTTTTTGTAGAATCTGCAAGTCGATATTTGGAGCCCTTTGCAGCCTATGGTTGAAACGAAATATTTTCACATAAAAACTACACAGAAGCATTAGGAAACTTCTTTGTGATGTGTTCATTCATCTCACAGGGTTGAACCTCTCTTTTGATTCAGCAGTTTGGAAACATTATTTTTGTAGAATCTGCAAGTGGATATTAGGAGCGATTTGAGGCCTATGGTGGAAAAGGAAATATCTTCACATAAAAGCTACACAGAAGCATTCTGAGAAACATCTTTGTGATGTGTGCATTCATCTCACAGAGTTGAACCTATCTGTTGTTAGAGCAGTTTTGAAACTCTCTTTTTGTAGAATCTGCAAGTGGATATTTGGCGCCCCTTGTGGCCTGTCGTGGAAAGGGAAATATCTTCACGTAAAACCACACAGAAGCATTCTCAGAAACTTCTTTGTGATGTGGGCATTCAACTCGCAGAGTTGAACCTATCTTTTGATAGAGCAGTTTTGCAACTCTCTTTTTGTAGAATCTGCAAGTGGTTATTTGGAGCCCTTTGGGGCCGATGGTGGTAAAGGAAATATCTTCCCATTAAAAACTACACAGAAGCATTGTGAGAAATTTCTTTGTGATGTGAGCATTCATCTCACAGTATTGAAACATTCATTTGCACAGTTTTGAAACACTATTTTTGTAGAATCTCCAAGGGGATGTTTTGGGCGCTTTGAGGCCTATGGTGGGAAAGGAAATATCTTCCCATTAAAAACTACACAGAAGCATTGTGAGAAATTTCTTTGTGATGTGAGCATTCATCTCACAGTGTTGAAACATTCATTTGCGCAGTTTTGAAACACTATTTTTGTAGAATCTCCAAGGGGATGTTTTGAGCGCTTTGAGGCCTATGGTGGGAAAGGAAATATCTTCACATAAAAACTACACAGAAGCATTCTGAGAAACTTCTTTGTGATGTGTTCATTCATCTCACTGTGTTGAACATATCTTTTGATAGAGCAGTTTAGAAACACTCTTTTTGTAGAATCTACAAGTGGATATTTGGAGCCATTTGCAGCCTATTGTGGAAAAGGAGATATCTTTACATAAAAACTACACAGAGGCATTCTGAGAAACTTCTTTGTGATGTGTGCATTCATCTCACAGAGTTGAACTTTTCTTTTGATTAAGCAGTTTTGAAACATTCTTTTTGTAGGATCTGCAAGTGGATATTTGGAGCGTTTTGAGGCCTCTGGTGGAAAAGGAAATATCTTCATGTAAAAACTACACAGAAACATTCTGTGAAACTTCTTTGTGATGTGTGCATTCAACTCGCTGAGTTGAACAGACATTTTGATAGAACAGTTTTGAAACTATATTTTTGTAGAATCTGGAAGTGGTTATTTTAAGCCCTTTGTGGCCTATGGTGGAAAAAGAAATAACTTCACTTAGAAACTACACAGAAGAATTCTGAGAAATTTCTTAGTGATGTGTGCATTCATCTCACAGAGTTGAACCTATCTTTTCATAGAGCAGTTTTCAAAGTCTCTTTTTGTAGAATCTGCAAGTGAATATTTGGAGCCCTTTGCAGCCTATGCTGGAAAAGGAAATATCTTCACAAAAAAACTACACAGAAGCATTCTGAGAAACTTCTTTGTGATGTGTGCATTCTTCTCACAGAGTTGAATCTTTCTTTTGATTGCGCAGTTTTGAAACACTTTTTTTGTAGAATCTGCAATTGGATATTTTGAGCACTTTGAGGCCTATGGTGGAGAAGGATATATCTTCACATAAAAACTACACAGAAGCATTCTGGGAAACTTCTTTGTAATGTGTGCATTCAACTCACAGAGTTGAACCTATCTTTTGATAGAGCAGTTTTGAAACTCTCCTTTAGTAGAATCTGCACATGCATATTTGGAGCCCTTTGTGGCATAATGTGGAAAAGGAAGTATCTTCACATAAAAACTACACAGAAGCATTCTGAGAAACTTCTTTGTGATGTGTGCATTCATATCACAGAGTTGAACCTCTCTTTTGATTGAGGAGTTTGGAAACACTCTTTTTGTAGAATCTGCAGGCGGATATTTGGAGCTCTTTTAGGCCTGTTGTAGAAAAGGAATGATCTTCACATAATAACTGCACAGAAGCATTCTGAGAAACTTGTTGTTTTGTGTGCACTCATCTCACAGAATTGAACCTTTCTTTTGATTGAGCAGTTTTGACACACTCTATTCACAGAATCTTCAAGTGGATATTTGGAGTGCTTTCAGGCCTATGGTGGAAAAGGAAATATCTTCACATAAAAACTGCACAGATGCATTCTGAGAAACCTCCCTGTGATGTGTGCATTGAACTCGCAGACTTCAACCTATGTTTTGATAGAGCAGTTTTGAAACTCTCTTTTTGTAGAATTTGCAAGTGTTTATTTTGAGCCCTTCATGGCCGATGTTGCAAAAGGAAATATCTTCACATAAAAACAAGACAGAAGCATTCTGAGAAACTTCTTTGTGATGTGTGCATTCATCTCACAGAGTTGAACTGCTCATTTGATTGAGCAATTTTGAAACACTCTTTCTGTAGAATCTGCAAGTGGATGTTTGCAACACTTTGAGGCCTGTTGTGGAAAAGGAAATATCTTCACATAAAAACTACACAGAAGCATTCTCAGGAACTTCTTTGTGATGTGTGCATTCGTCTCACAGAGTTGAGCCTATCTTTTGAAAGGGCAGTTTTGCAACTCTGTTTTTGTTAAATCTGCAAGTGGATATTTGAGCCCTTTGTGGGCTCTCGTGGAAAAGGAAATATCTTCATACAAAAACTACACAGAAGAAGTCTGAGAAACTTCTTTGTGATGTATGCATTCATCTCACAGTGTTGAAACTTTCATTTGATTGAGCAGTTTTGAAACTCTTTCTGTAGAATCTGCAAGGGGATATTTGGAGCACTTTGAGGACTATTGTGGAAAAGTAAATATCTTCACATAAAAACTACACAGAAGCATTCAGAAAAACTTCTTTGTCATGTGTGCATTCATCTCACCAAGTTGAACGTTTTTTTGATTGAGCAGTTGTGAAATACTCTTTTGGTAGAATCTGCAATTGGATATTTGGAGCGATTTGAGGCCTAGGGTGGAAAAGGAAATATATTCACATAAAAGCTACACAGAAGAATTCTGAGAAACTTCTTTGTGATGCATGCATTCGTCTCACAGAGTTGAACCACTGTTTTGATTGAGCAGTTTGGAAACACTCTTTTTGTAGAATCTGCAAGTGGATATTTCAAGCCCTTTGCGACCTCTCATGGAAAAGGAAATATCTTCATATAAAAACTACACAGAAGCACTCTGAGAAACTTCTTTGTGATGTGTGCATTCATCTCACAGAGTTGAACCACTGTTTTGATTGAGCAGTTTGGAAACACTCTTTTTGTAGAATCTGCAAGTGTATATTTCGAGCCCTTAGAGGCCTATGGTGGAAAGGAAATATCTTCACATAAAAATTACACAGAAGCATTCTGAGAAACCACTTTTTGATGTGTGCATTCAACTCGCAGAGTTGAACATTTCACTCGATTGAGCAGTTTTGAAACACTCTTTCTGTAGAAACTGCAAGTGGATATTTGGATCCCTTGGAGGCCAACTGTGGAAAAGGAAATATCTTCACATAAAAGCTATACAGAAACATTCAGAGAAACTGCTTTGTGATGTGTGCATTCATCTCACAGAGTTGAAACTTTCCTTTGATTGAGCAGTTTTGAAACACTCTTTTTGTAGAATATGCAAGTGGACATTTGGAACGCTTTAAGGCCGATGGTGGAAAAGAAAATATCTTCACATAAAAACTACAGAGAAGAATTCTGAGAAACTTCTTTGTGATGTTTGCATCCATCTCACAGAGTTGAGCCTATCTTTTGATAGAGCAGTTTTGAACCTCTCTTTTTGTAGGATCTGCAAGTGGTTATTTGGAGCACTTTGTGGCCAATGGTGGAAAAGGAAATATCTTCCCATAAGAACTACACAGAAGGATTCTGAGAAACTTCGTTGTGACGTGTGCATTCTTCTAACAGAGTTGAACATTTCATTTTATTGAGCAGTTTTGAAACTCTCTTTCTGTAGAATCTGCAAGTGGATATTTGGAGCGCTGTTTTGTCTATGGTGGAAACTGAAATTTTTGCACATACAAACTAGACAGAAGCATTCTGAGAAACTTCATTGTGATGTGTGCATTCATCTACCAGAGTTGAATGTTTCTTTTGATTGAGCAGTTTTGAAACACTCTTTTTATAGAATCTGCAAGTGGATATTTGAAGCGCTTTGAGGCCTACTGTGAAAAAGTAAATAGCTTCATGTGAAAACTACACCGAAGCATTCTGAAAAACTTCTTTGTGATGTGTGCATTCATCTCACCTCTGTGATTCATCTCACCTCTGTGAGATGAATGCACACATCGCAAAGAAGTTTCACAGAATGCTTCTGTGTAGTACTTATGTGAAGATATTTCAATTTCCAAGATAGGCCTAAAAGCGCTCCCAATATCCACTTGCAGATTCTACAAAAAGAGAATTTTGAAACTGCTCAATTGAAAGATAATTTCATCTCTGTGAGTTGAATGCATACATCACAAAAAAGTTACTCAGAATGCGTCTGTGTAGTTTTCATGTGAAGATACTTCTTTTTTGACCATAGGCCTCAAATTGCTCCCAATATCCACTTGCAGATTCTACAAAAAGAGAATTCACAATTCATCAATCAGTAGGAAGCTTCAACTCTGTGAGATGAATGCTCGCATCAAAAAGATGTTTCCCAGAATTCTTCTGGCTAGTTTTTATGTAAAGATATTTCCTTTTCGACCACAGGCCACAAATTGCTCCAAATATCCACTTGCAGATACTACAAAAAGAGTGTTTCAAAACTACTCAATCAAAAGAAAGGATCACCTCAGAGAGATAAATGCACACATAACAAAGAAGTTTCTCAGAATGCTTCTGTCTAGTTTGTATGTGCAGAAATTTCATCTTGCACTAGAGGCCACAAAACTCTCCAAATATCCACTTGCAGATTCTACAAAAAGAGAGTTTCATGACTCCTCAATCAAAAGAGAGATTCGTCCCCGTTAGTTGAATGCACACATCACAAAGAAGTTCATCAGAATGCTTCTGTCTAGTTTTTATATGAAGATACTTCCTTTTCCACCATAGGCCCCAAGCGCTCTGAATATCCACTTGCAGATTCTACAAAAAGAGTGATTCAAAACTGTGCAATCAAAAGAAATGTTCAATTCTGAGAGATGAATGCACACATCACAAAGAAGTGTTCCAGAATGCTTCTGTATAGTTTTTATGTGAAGATATTTCCTTTTCCACCATAGGCCACAAAGCGTTCCAAATATCCACTTGCAGATTCTACAAAAAGAGTGTTTCCAAACTGCTCAATAAAAGACAGTTTCAACTCTGTGGGTTGAATGCACACATCACAAAGAAGTTTCTCAGAATGCTTCAGTCTAGTTTTTAAGTGAAGATATTTAATTTTCCACCATAAGTCTCAAAGCACTCCAATATCCACGTGCAGATTCTACAAAAAGAGTGTTTCAAACCTGCTCAGTGAAACCACAGGTTCAACTCTGTGAGGTGAACGCACACATCACAAAGAAGTTTCTCAGAATGTTTCGGTCTAGTTTTTATGTGAAGATACTTCCTTTTCCACCATAGGGATCAAAACACCCCAAATATCCCGTTGCAGACTCTACAAAAAGAGTGTATCAAACCTGCTCAATCAAAAGAAAGTTTCACTTCTGTAAGATGAATGCACACATCACAAAGAAGTTTCTCAGAATGCTTCTATCTAGTTTTTACGTGAAGATATTTCCTTTTCCTGTAGATGCCACAACACGCTCAAAATATACACTTGCATAATCTACAAAAAGAGTGTTTCAAAACTGCTCAATCAAAAGAAAGGTTCAACTCTGTGAGTTGAATGCACACATCACAGAGAAGTTTCTCAAAATGATTCTGTCTAGAATTTATTAGATGATATTTCCTTATCCACCACAGGGCTCAAACTGTCCCAATTATCTATTTTCAGATACTTCAAAAAGAGTGATTCAAAACTCCTCAATCAAAACAAATCTTCAACTCTGTGAGTTGAATGCACACATCACAAAGATGGTTCCAGGATGCTTCTGTATACTTTTTATGTGAAGATATTTCGTTTTCCACCATAGGCCCAAAATCCCTCCAAATATCCACATGCAGATTCTATAAAAAGAGTGTTTCAAAAGTGCTCAATCAAAAGAAAGTTTCTACTCTGTGAGTTGAATGCTCACATCACAAAGAAGTTACTCAGAATGCTTCTGTCTAGTTTTTATGTGAAGATATTCCCTTTTCCACCATAGTCCTCAAAGCGCTCCAAATATCCACTTGCAGAAACTACAAAAAGTGTTTTTCAAAACTGCTCTTCAAAAAGAATCCTTCAACTCGGTGGTATGAATGCACACGTAACAATGAAGTTTCTCAGAAGGTTTCTGTCTAGTTTTCATGTGAAGATATTTCTGTTTCCACTGTAGGCTGCAAAGCGCTCCAAATATACACTTGCAGAAACTATAAAAAGAGTGATTAAAAACTGCTCAATCAAAAGAAAGGTTGAACTCTGAGAGATGAATGCACACATCCAAAGACGTTTCTGAGAGTGCTTCTGTCTAGTTTTTATGTGAAGATATTTCCTTTTCTGCTATAGGCCACAAAGCAATCCAAATATCCACTTGCAGATTCTACAAATGGAGTTTTTCAAAGTTGCTCAATCAACAGAAAGTTTCAACTCTGGGAGTTCAATGCTCACATCACAAAGAAGTTTCTCAGAATGCATATGTCTAGTTTTTATGTGAAGATATTTTCTCTTCCACCATAGGCCTCAAAGAGCTCCATATATCCACATGCACATTTTACAAAAAGAGTGTTCCCAAACTCCTCAATCAAAAAGAAGGTTCAACTCTGTGGGATCACAAACAAGTTTCTCAGAATGCTCCAGTCTAGTTAATACGTGAAGATATTTCCTTTTACACTAGAGGCCGCAAGCACTCCAAATATCCACATGCAGATCCTATAAAGAGTGTTTCAAGCATGCTCAATCAAAAGAAAGATTCTCCTCTGTGAGATGAATGCATACATCACAAAGAAGTTTCTCAGAATGCTTTTTTGTAGTTTTTATGTGAAGATGTTTCCTTTTCCACCGTAGCCCACGAAACACTCCAAATATCCACTTGCAGATTCTAGAAAAAGTATGTTTCAAAACAGCTCTATCAAAAGAATCGTTCAACTCTGTGAGATGAATGCACACATAACAAAGATGTTTCTCAGAAGGCTTCTGTCTAGTTTTGATGTGTAGATATTTCCTTTTCCACTATAGGCTGCAAAGCGCTCCAAATATCCACTTACAGAATCTACAACAAGAATGTTTCAAAACTGCTCAATAAAAGGAAGTTTCTACTCTGAGAGATGAATGCACACATCACAAAGAAGTTTCTGAGAATGCTTCTGTCTATTTTTTATGTGAAGATATTTCCTTTTCCACTTTAGGCCGCAAAACACTCCAAATATCCACTTGCAAATTATACAAAAGGAGTTTTTCAAAACTGCTCTATCAAAAAAAAGTTTCAACTCTGGGAGATGAATGCACACATCACAAAGAAGTTTCTCAGAAAACATCAGTCTAGTTTTTATGTGAAGTTATTTCCTCTTCCACCAAAGGCCTCAAAGTGCTCCATATATCCACTTTCACATTTTACAAAAAGAGTGTTTCCAAACTGCTCTATGAAAAGAAAAGTTCAACTCTGTGAGATGAATGCACTCATCACAAACAAGTTTCTCAGAATGCTTCTGTCTAGTTATTATGTGAATATATATCCTTTTACACTTGAGGCCACAAGCACTCCAAATATCCACTTACAGATTCGACAAAAAGAGTGAGTCAAAACTGCTCAATCAAAAGAAACGTTCAACACTGTCTGTTGAATGCACACATCACTTCTAAGAGTCTCAGAATGCTTCCGGGTAGTTTATATGTGAAGATATTCCCTTTTCCAACATAGGCATAAATCACTCCAAATATCCAATTGCAGATAATACAAAAACAGTGTTACAAATCTGCTCAATCAGAAGAAAGGTTCAAGTCTTTGAGATGAATGCACACATCATAAAGAAGGGTCTCAGAATGCTTCTGTGTAGTTTTTATGTGAAGATATTTCCTTTCCCACCATAGCCACAAAGTGCTCCAAATATCCACTTGCAGATACAAAAAGAGTGTTTCAAAACTGCTCAATCAAAAGAAAGTTTCAACATTCTGAGATGAATGCACACATCACAAAGAAGTTTCCCAGTATGCTTCTGTCTAGTTTTTATGTGAAGATATATCCTTTTCCACCACAGGGCTCAAAGCACTCCAAATTTCCACTTGCAGATTCTACAAAAAAAGTCTATCAAAACTGCTCAAGCAAAAGAAAATTTCAACTCTGTGAGATGAATGCACACATCACAAAGAAGTTTCTCAGAGTGCTTCATTCTAGTATTTATGTGAAGATATTTCCTTTTCCATCACAGGCCTCAAACAGCTCCAAATATGCACTTGCAGATACAACAAAAAGGGCATTTCAAAACTGCTCAATCAAATGAGACGTTCAACTGTGAGAGTTCAATGCACACATCATAAAGAATTTTCTCATAATGCTTCTGTCTATTATTTAAGTAAAGATATTTCCTTTTCCACCATAGGCCTCAAAGCGCTCCAAATATCCACTTGCAGATACTATAAAAAGAGTGTCTGAAATATGCTCAATCAAAACAAAGTTTCAACTCTGATAGTTGAATGCACACAACACAAAGAATTTTCTCAGAATGCTTCTGTCTTGTATATATGTGATGATATTTCCTTTTCCAACATAGGCCTCAAACGACTCCAAATGTCAAACTGCAGATATTACAGACAGAGTCTTTCAAAACTCCTCAATCAAAAGAAAGTTTCAACTCTGTGAGTTGAATGCACACATCACAAAGAAGTTTCTCAGAATGCTTCTGTCTAGTATTTATGTGAAGTTATTTCATTTTCCACCATAGGCCTCAAACTGCTCCAACTATCCACTTGCAGATACTACAAAAAAAGTGTTTGAAAACTGCTCAATCTAAAGAAAGGTTCAACTCTGTGAGATGAAGGCACACTTCAGAAAGCAGTTTCTCAGAATGCTTCTGTCTAGTTTTTATGTGAAGATATTTCCATTTCTACCTTAGGCCCCAAACCACTCCAAATATGCACCTACAGATTCTAAAAAAACAGAGTTTCAAAACTGCTCAGTGAAAAGAAAGTTTCAACTCAGTGAGTTGAATGCACACATCACAAAAAGTTTCTCTGAATGCTTCTGTCTAGTTTTTATGTGAAGATACATCCTTTTCCACCATAGGGCTCAAAGCGCTCCAAATATCCACTTGCAGATTCCATAAAAAGAGTGTATCAAAACTGCTCAATCAAAAGCAAGGTTCAAATCTGGGAGATGAATGCACACATCACTAAGAATTTTCTCAGAATCCTTCTGTCCAGAATTCATGTGAAGGCGTACCCTTTTCCACCATAGGATTCAAAGCGCTCTAATATCCACTTGCAGATTCTACAAAAACAGAGCTTCAAAACTCCACAATCAAAAGAAAGTTTCAACTCTGTGAGGTGAATGCACACATCACATATAAGTTTCTCAGAATGCTTCTGTCTAGTTTTCATGTGAAGATACTTCCTTTTCCACCATAGGGCTCAAAACACCCCAAATATCCCCTTGCAGATTCTACAAAAATTGTTTATCAAAACTGCTCAATCAAAAGAAAGTTTCAACTCTGTGAGGTGAATGCACACACCACAAAGAAGTTTCTCAGAATGCTTCTCTCTAGTTTTTCTGTGAAGATATTTCCTTTTTCTGTACATGCCACAAAGCGCTCCAAATATCCACTTGCAGATTCCAAAAAAGGAGTGTTTTAAAACTGCTCAATTGAAAGGAATGTTCAACTCTGAGTGTTGAATGCACACCATCACAAAATAGTTTCCCAAAATGATCCTTTCTAGTATTTAAGTGAAGATATTACCTTATCCATCACAGGGCACAAACCTCTCCAAATATCCAATTGCAGATGCTACAAAAAGAGTGTTTCAAAACTGCTCAATCAAAACCAAGTTTCAACTCTGTGAGTTGAATTCACACATCACAAAAAAGTTTATGAGAATGCTTCTGTGCAGTTTTTATGTGAAAATATTGCCTTTTCCACCATAGGCCCCAAAGCACTCCAAATATCCACATACAGATTCCGTAAAAAGAGTGTTTCAAAACTGCTCAATCAAAAGAAAGATTCAACTCTGTGAGATGAATGCACACATCACAAAGAAGTTTCTCCAAATGCTTCTCTCTCTAGTTTTCATGTGAAGATATTTCCTTTTCCACTATAGGACACAAAGCACTCCACATATGCACCTGTAGATTCTGTAAAAAGAGTGTTTCAAAACTGCTCAATCTAAAGAAAGTTTCAGCTCTGTGAGTTAAATGCTCACATCACAAAGCAGTTTCCTAGAATACTTCTTTCTAAATTTTATATGAAGATAATTCCTTTTCCAGCATAGGCCTCAAAGCACTTCAAATATCCATTTTCAGATACTACAAAAGGAGTGTTTCAAAACTGCTCAGTCAAAAGAAAAGTTCAACTCTGTGAAACGAATGCACACATCACAGGGAAGTTTCTCAGAATGCTTCTGTTTAGTTTTTATGTGAAGATATTTCCTTTTACACTAGAGACTACAAAGCTCTCCAAATATCCACTTGCAAATTCTACAAAAAGAGAGTTTCAAAACTCCTCCATCAAAAGAAATTTTCAACTCTGAGGCGAATGCACACAGCAAAAAGAAGTTTCTCAGAATTCTTCTGTGTAGTTTTTATGTGAAGATATTTCTTTTTCCACCATAGACCCCAAATCATTCCAAATATCCACATGAAGATTCTACAAAAATAGGGTTCAAAACTGGTCAGTCAAAGGAAATGTTCAACTCTGAGATCTGAAAGCACACATGACAGAGAAGTATCTCAGAATGCTTCTGTCTAGTTTTTAAGTGAAGATATTTCCTCTTACAATAGAGGCCGCAAAGTGACCAAATATCCACTTGCAGATTCTACAAAACAGTCTCTCAAATGTGCTAAATCAGAAGAAAGGTGAAACTCTGTGAGGTGAATGCACACATCACAAAGATGTTTCTCACAATCCTTCTGTCTAGTTTTTATTTGAAGATATTTCTTTTCCACCATAGACCACAAAGTTTTCCAAATGTCCACTTGCAGATTCTGTAAAATGTGTGTTTCAAAAGTGCTCAATCAAAAGAAAGTTTAAACTCTGAGAGATGAATGCACATATCACAGAGAAGTTTCCAGTATACTTCTGTCTACTTTTTGTGTGAAGATATCTCCTTTTCCACCATAGGACTCAAAGTGCTCCAAAAGTCCACTTGCGTATTCTACAAAAAGAGTGCTTCAAAACTGCTCAATCAAAAGAAAGATTAAACTCTGTGAGATGAATGCACACATCACAAAGAAGTTTCTCAGAATACTTCTGTCTACTTTTAATGTGAAGATATTTCCTTTTCCACTAGAGGCCGAAAATGCTCCAAATATCCACATGCAGATTGTACAAGAGTGTTTCAAAACTGCTCAATCAAAAGAAATGTTCAACTCCGTGAGATGAATGCACACATCACAAAGAAGTTTCTCAGAATGCTTCTGTCTAGTTTATAGGTGATGATATTTCCTTTTACACTAGAGACTGCAGAGCACACCAAATATCCACTTGCACATTCTACAGAAAAAGAGTTTCAAAACTCCTCAATCAAAAAAAAGTTTCAACTCTGTGAGTTGAATGAATACAGCACAAATAAATTTCTCAAAATGCTTCTGTCTAGTATTTGCATGAAGATATTTCCTTTTCCACAATAGACCTCAAAGTGCTCCAAATATCCATTTGCAGATACTACAAAAAGAGTGTTTTTAAACTGCTCAATCATAGGAAAGATTGAACTCTCTGAGTTGAATGCACACTTCAAAAAGAAGTTTCTCAAAGTGCTTCTGTGCAGTTTTTATATTAAGATATTTCCTTTTCCACCTTAGGCCCCAAAGCGCTCCAAATATCCACATGCAGATTGTACAAAAAGAGGTTTTCAAAACTGCTCAATCAAAAGAAGTGTTCAACTCTGCGAGATGTATGCACACATCACAAAGAAGTTTCTCAGAATTGTTCTGTCTAGTTTTTATGTGAAGATATTTCCTTTCCCACCATAGGCCTCAAAGAGATCCCAAATATCCCTTTGTAGATTCGTTAAAAAGACCATTTCCAAACTGCTCAATCAAAAGAAATGTTCAACTCTGTGAGTTGAATGCAAATATCACAAAGAAGTTTCTCAGAAAGATTCTGTCTAGTTTTTACGTGAAGATATTTCCTTTTTCACCATAGGCCTCAAGGGGCTCCCAAATATCCCTTTGCGGATTCTACAAAAAGACAGTTTCCAAATTACTGTATCAAAAGAAAGGTTCAATTCTGTGAGATGAATGCACATATCATAAAGAATTTTCTCAGAAAGCTGCTGTCTAGTTTTAATATGAAGTTATTTCCTTTTTCACCACAGGCTTCAACCGCTCAGAAATATCCCATGGCAGATTCTACAGAAAGACTGTTTCCAAACAGCTCAATCAAAAGAAAGGTTCAACTCTTGAGATGAATGCACACGTCACAAAGAAGTTTCTCAGAAACCTTCTCTCTAGATTTTATGTGAAGTTATTTCCTTTACCAACATAGGTCTCAAAGGGCTCAGAAATATTTACTTGCCGATTCTAGAAAAAGACTGTTCCCAAGCTGCTCAATCAAAAGAAAGTTTCAACTCTGTGGATGAATGCACACATCACAAAGAAGTTTCCCAGAATGCTTCTGTCTAGTTTTTATGTGAAGATATTCCCTTATTCACCATAGGCTTCAAAGGGATCCCAAATATACCCTTACAGATTCTTCAAAAACACTTTTTCCAAACTGCGTAATCAAAAAAAATGTTCAACTCTGTGAGTTGAATACAAACATCACACAGAAGTTTCTCTCAAATATTCTGTCCAGTTTTTATGTGAAGATACTTCCTTTTTCACAATAGGCCTCAAACCGATCAGAAATATCCTTTTGCAGATTCTAGAAAAAAACGGTTTCCAAACAGCATAATCAAAAGAAAGATCTAACTCTGTGAGATGAAAGCACACATCACAAAGAAGTTTCTCAGAAAGTTACTGTGTAGTTTTATGTGAAGATAATTCCTTGTTCACCATAGGACTCAATCCTCAGAAATATCCCTTTGCAGATTCTAGAAAAAGACTGATTCCAAATGCACAATTAAAAGAAAGCTTCAAATCTGTGAGATGAATGCACACATTCAAAGAAGTTTCTCAGAAAGCTTCTGTGTAGTTTTTATGTGAAGATTTTTCCTACTTCACCATAGGCCTCAAACCGCACAGAAATATCCCTTTGCAGATTCTAGAAAAAGACTGTTTCCAAACTGCTCAAACAAAAGAAAGATTCAGCTCCATGAAATGAATGCACTCATCACAAAGTAGTTTCTCCAAAAGCTTCTGTCTAGTTTTTATGGAAAGATATTTCCTTTTTCAGGCCTTTAAGGACTTCCAAATATCCCTTTGCAGATTCTACAAAAAGACTCTTTCAAAACTGCTCAATCAAAAGAAAGGTTCAACAGTGTGAGATGAATGCACACATCACACTATCCTTTCTCAGAATACTCCTGTCTAGTTTTTATGTGAAGAGATATCCTTTTTCACCATAGGCCTCAAAGTGAATGCAAACATCCCTTTGCAGATTCTACAAAAAGATTGCTTCCAAACTGTTCAATCAAAAGAAAGGTTCTACTCTGTGAGATGAATGCACACATCACAAAGGAGTTCCTTAGGAAGTGTCCGTCTAGTTTTTATGTGAAGATATTTGATTTTTCACAATAGGCCTCAAACCGCTCAGAAATATCTCCTTGCAGATTCAAGAAAAAGTCTGTTTCCAAACTGCACAATGAAAAGAATGTTTCAACTCTGTGACATGAATGCACAGATCACAAAGAAGTTTCTCAGAAACCTTCAGTCCAGTTTTTATGTGAAGATATTCCTTTTTTCACTATCGGCCTCAATGGTGTCCCAATATCCCTTTGCAGATTCTGCAAAAAGACAGTTTACAAACTGCTCAATCAAAAGAAAGGTTCAAATCTGCAAGATGAATGCACACATCACACAGCAGTTTCTCAGAAAGCTTCTGTCTATTTCTTTGTGAAGATAATTCCTTTTTCACCATATGCCTCAAACCGCTCAGAAATATCCCCTTGCAGATTCTACAAAAAGACTGTTTCCAAACTGCTCAACCAAAAAAAAGTTTCATCTCTGTGAGATGAATGCACCCATCACAAAGTAGTTTTTCAGAAAGGTCTTGTCTAGTTTTTATGTGAAGATATTCCCTTTTTCACCATAGGCCTAAAGGGATCCCAAATATCCCATTGCAGAAGCTACAAAAAGACGTCTTCCAAACTGTTCACTCAAAAGAAAGTTTCAACTCCATGAGATGAATGCACACATCACAAAGAAATTTCTGAGAAATCTTCTGTGTAGTTTTTATATGAAGATATTTCTTTTTTCACCATAGGGCTCAAACCGCTCAGAAATATCCCTTTGCAGATTCTAGAAAAAGACTGTTTCCAAACTGCTCAATCAAAAGAAAGGTTCAACTTTGTGAGTTGAATGCACACATCACAAAGAAGTTTCTCAGAAAGCTTCTGTCTACTTTTGATGTGAATATATTTCCTTTTTCACCATATGCCTCAAACTGCTAAGAAATATCCCTTTGCAGATTCTAGAAAAAGACTGATTCCCAACTGCTCAATCAAAAAAAAGCTTCAAATCTGTGAGATGAATGCACACATTATAAGTTTCTCAGAAAGCTTCTGTCCAGTTTTTATATGAAGATATTTGCTTTTTCACCATATTCTTCCAAGGTCTCCAAAATATCCCTTTGCAGATTCTATGATAAGACTGTTTCCAAGCTGCTCAATCACAGGAAAGGGTAAAATCTGTGAGATGAATTCACACATCACACAGAATTTCCTAAGAAACTTCTGACTAGTTTTCATGTGAAGATATTTCCTTTTTCACCATAGGCCTCAAACCACTCAGAAATATCCCTTTGCATATTCTAGAAAAACACTTTTTCCAAACTGCTTAATCAAAAGAAAGTTTCAACTCTGTGGGATGAATGCACTCATCACAAAGAAGTTTCTCAGAAAGGTCTTGTCTAGTTTTTATGTAAAGACATTTCCTTTTTCACCATAGTCCTGAAGGGATCCCAAATATCCCATTGCAGACCCTACAAAAAGATGGCTTCCAAACTGCTCAATCAAAAGAAAGTTTCAACTCTGTGAGATGAATGCACACATCACAAAGAAATTTCTGAGAAAGCTTCTGTCTAGTTTTTATGTGAAGATATTTCCTTTTTCACCATAGGCCTCAAACTGCTCAGAAATATCCCTTTGCAGATTCTAGAAAAAGACTGTTTCCAAACTGCTCAATCAAAATAAAGTTTCAAATCTATGAGATGAATACAATCATCACAAAGGAGATTCTCAAAACACGTCTGTCTATTTTTTATATAAAGATATTACTTTTTCAGCATAGGCCTCAAAAGGATCTGAAATAACCTTTTTGCACCTTCTATAAAAAGACTGTTTCCAAACTGCTTAATCAAAAGAAAGGTTCAACTTTGTGAATTGAATGTACACATCACAAAGGAGTTTCTCAGAAAGCTTCTGTCTACTTTTGATGTAAATATATTTCCTTTTTCACCATAGGCCTCAAACCACTCAGAAATAACCCTTTGCAGATTCTAGAAAAGGACTGATTCCCAACTGCTCAATCAAAAGAAAGGTTCAAACCTGTGAGATGAATGCACACATCATAAGTTTCTCAGAAGCTTCTGTCCAATTTTTATATGAAGATATTTGCTTTTTCACCATATTCCTCCAAGGTCTCCGAAATATCCCTTTGCAGATTCTATGATAAGACTGTTTCCAAACTGCTCAATCACAAGAAAGGGTCAACTCTGTGAGATGAATGCACACATCACACAGAATTTCCTAAGAAATTTCTCTCTAGTTTTCATGTGAAGATATTTCCTTTTTCACCATAGGCCTCCAACCAATCAGAAATATCCCTTTGCAGATTCTAGGAAAACACTGTTTCAAACTGTTTAATCAAAAGAAAGTTTCATCTCTGTGAGATGAATGCACTCATCACAAAGAAGTTTCTCAGAAAGCTTCTGTCTAGTTTTAATGTGAAGATATTCCCTTTTTCACCATAGGCCTCAAAGAGATCCCAAATATCCCTTTGCAGATTCGTTAAAAAGACTGTTTCCAAACTGCTCAATCAAAAGAAATGTTCAACTCTGTGAGTTGAATGCAAACATCACAAAGAAGTTTCTCAGAACTCTTCTGTCTAGTTTTTAAGTGAAGATATTTCCCTTTTCACCATAGGACTCAAGCCGCTCAGATATATCCCTTTGCACATTCTAGAAAATGACTGTTTCCAAACTGCTCAATCAAAAAGAAAAGTTGAAATCTGTGAGACGAATGCACACATCACAAAAAAAGTTTCTCAGAAAGCTTCTGTCTAGTTTTTATGTGAATATATTTCCTTTTTCACCATAGACCTCAAATCGCTCAGAAATATCCCTTTGCAGATTCTAGAAAAATATGGTTTCCAAACTGCTCAATCAAAAGAAAGTTTCAACTCTGTGAGATGAAGGCACACACCACAAAGAAGTTTCTCAGAAAGCTTCTGTCTAGT
>NC_000010.11:39341705-39409792 GCF_000001405.40 Homo sapiens | reverse complement strand
GAAGTTTCTCAGAAATCTTCTGTCTACTTTTTATGTGAGGATATTTCCTTTTTCACCATAGGCCTCAAACTGCTCAGAAATATCCCTTTGCAGATTCTGCAAAAAGACTGTTTCCAAACTGCTCAATCAAAAGAAAGTTTCAGTTCTGTGAGAAAGCATACATCACAAAACAGTATCCAGAAAACTTCTGTCTGCTTTTTATATGAATATATTTCCTTTTTCACCATAGGCCTCAAACCGCTCAGAAATATCCCTTTGCAAATTCTGCAAAAAAGACTGTTTCAAAACTACTCAATCAAAAGAAAGATTCAACTCTGTGAGATAAATGGCCGCATCACAAAGAAGTTTCTCAGAAACTTTCTGGCTAGTTTTTATGTGAAAATATTTCCTTTTTCAACATAGGCCCCAAAGGGCTCCGAAACATCCCCTTGCAGATTCTACAAAGACACTGTTTCCAAACTGGGCAATCAAAAGAAAGTTTCACCTCTGTGAGATGAATGCAGACATCAGAACGAGGTTTCTCAGAAAGCTTCTGTCTAATTTTTATATGTAGATATTTCCTCTTCTGCCATAGGCCTCAAATCGCTCAGATATGTCCCTTTGCACATTCTACAAAAAGACTGTTTCCAAACTGCTCAATCAAAAGAAAGGTTGAACTCTTTGAGATGAATGCACACAACACAAAGAAGTTTCTCAGAAACCTTCTGTCTAGTTTTTATGTGAAGATATTTCCTTTTTCACCATAGGCCTCAAAGGGATCCAAAATATCCCTTTGCAGATTTTACAAAAATACTGTTTCCAAACTGCTCATTCAAAAATAAAGTTTAACTCTGTCAGTTGAATGCATGCATCACTAAGAAGTTTCCCAGAAAATTTCTGTCTAGTTTTTATGTGAAGATACTTCCTTACTCACCGTAGGCCTCAAAATACTCAGAAATATCCCCTTGCAGATTATAGAAAAAGACTGTTTCCAAACTGCTCAATCAAAAGAAAGGTTCAACTCTGTGAGATGCGTGCACACATCACAAAGAAGTTTCTCAGAAACCTTCTGTCTAGTTTTTATGTGAAGATATTCCCTTTTTCACCATAGGCCTCAAAGGGCTCCCAAATATCCCTTTTTAGATTCTGGAAAAAACTGTTTACAAACTGCTCAGTCATAAGAAAGTCTCAAATCTGTGAGGTGAATGCACTCATGACAAAGAATATTCTCAGAAAGCTTCTCTCTAGTTTTTATGCAAAGATGTTTGGTTTTCCACCATAGGCATCAAAGCGCCCCCAAGTGTCCCTTTGCAGATTCCACAAAGAGAATGTTTCCAAACTGCTCAATCAAAATAAAAATTCAACTCTGTGAGATGAATGCACACATCAAAAAGAAGTTCGTCAAAAGCTTCTGTCTAGTGTTTATGTGAGGATATTCCCATTTTCACCACAGGCCTCAAAAGTCTCCCAAATACCCATTTGCAGACTACAAAAAGACTCTTTCCAAACTGTTCAATCAAAAGTAAGGTTCAACTCTGTGAGATGATTGCACACATCACAAAGAAGTTTCTCAGAAAGCTTCTGTCTATTTCTTTGTGAAGATAATTCCTTTTTCACCATATGTCTCAAACAGTTCAGAAATATCCCTTTGCAGTTTCTACATAAAGACTTTTTCCAAACCGCTCAATCAAAAAAAAAGCTTCAACTCTGTGAGAGGAATGCACGCATCAAAAAGTTGTTTCTCAGAAACCTTCTGTCTAGTTTTTTTTTGAAGATATTTCCTTTTTCAACATAAGATTCAACACGCCCTCAAATATTCCATTGCAGATTTTATGAAATGACTTTTTCCAAACTGCTCAATCAAAAGAAAGTTACAACTCTTTGAGATGAATGCACTCATTACAAAGAAGTTTCTCAGAAATCTTCTGTCCAGTTTTAAGTGAAGATATTTCCTTTTTCACCATAGGCCTCAAACCGATCAGAAATATCCCATTGCAGATTCTAAACAAACACTGTTTCCAAACTGCTCAATCAAAAGAAAATTTCAACTCTTTGAGATGAATGCACACATCATAAAGATGTTTCTCAGAAAGATTCTGTCTAGTTTTTATATGAAGATATTTCCTGTTTCACCATAGGCCTCAAACTGCTCTGGAATATCCCTTTGCATATTCTACAAAAAGAGTGTGTCAAAACTGCTCTTAGCTGTGTGAGATGAATACACACGTCACAAATAAGTTTCTCAAAAAGCTTCTGTCTAGTTTTCATGTGAAGATATTTCCTTTTCCACTGAAAGCCTCAAAGTGCTCCAAATATCCATTTGCAGATACTACAAAAAGATTGTTTCAAAACTGCTCAATCAAAAGAAAGTTCAACACTGTGAGATGAATTGCACACATCACAAAGCAGTTTCTCAGAATGAGTCTGTCTAGTTTTTATGTGAAGTTATGTCCTATTACATGATAGGCCTCAAAGGGCTAACAAACATCTCTTTGCATATTCTACAAAATGACTGTTTCCAAGCAGTTCAATCAAAAGAAATGTTCAACTCTGTGAGATGAATGCATACATCATGAAGAAGTTTCTCAGAATGCTTCTGCCCTGTTTTTATGTGAAGATAATTCCTTTCCACCATAGGCCTCAAAGCGCTCCAAATATCCACTTGCAGATTCTACATAAAGCCTGTTTCAAAACTGCTCAATCAAAAGAAAGGTTCAACTCTGGGTCATGAATGGAAACATCATGAAGAAGTTTCTCAGAATGCTTCTATTTTTTATGTGAAGATATTTTCTTTTCCACCATAGGCCTCAAAGCACTCCAAATATCCACTTGCAGATTACACAAAAAGGCTTTTTCCAATCTTCTCAAAGAAAGGAAAAGTTCAACTCTGGTAGAGGAAAGCACCAATCACTAAGAAGTTTCTCAGAATGCTTCCATCTGGTTTTTATATGAAGATATTTCCTATTTCCCCATAGGCCTCAATGGGCTCACAAGTATCCCTTTGCAGATTCTACCAAATGACTGTTTCCAATCTGCTGAATCAAAAAAAATGTTTAACTCTGTGAGAAGAACACACACATCACAAAGAAGTTTCTCAGAATGCTTCTGTCTAGTATTTATGGGAAGATAATTCCCATTCCACCACAGGCTTCAAAGCACTACAGATATCCACCTGCAGTTGCTACAAAAAGAGCGTTTCAAAACTGCTGAATCAAAAAAAAAGGTTCAACTATGTGATGAATGCACACACCACAAAGGAGTTTCTCAGAATGCTTCTGTCTAGTTTTTATATGAAGATATTTCCTTTTTCAAAATAGGCATCAAAGTGCTCCAAATATCCATGTGCAGATACTACAAAAACACTGTTTCCCAACTGCTCAATCAAAAGAAAGGTTCAACTCTGTGAGATGAATGCACATATCATGAAGAATTTTCTTGGAATGCTTCTGTCTAGTTTTTATGTGAAAATATTTCCTTTTTCATCATAGGCCTCTAAGCACTCCAAATTTCCATTTGCAGATTCTACAAAAAGACTGTTTCCAAACTGCTCAATCAAAAGAAAGGTTCAACTCTGTGAGATGAAAGCACACATCACAAAGAAGTTTCTCACAAAGTTTCTACCTAGGTTTTATGTGAAGATATTTCCTGTTTCCACGTAGTCCTCAATGGGCTCACAATTTTCGCTTTGCACTTCTACAAAACGACTGTTTCCAAAATGCTCAACCAAAATAAATGTTAAACTCCCTGAGATGTATGCCCACATCACAAAGAAGTTTCTCAGAATGTTTCTTTCTAGTTTTTATGTTAACATATTTCCTCATACACCATAGGCCTCAAAGCACTCCAAATATCCACTTGCAGATTTTACAAAAAGAGTGTTTCAAAACTGCTCAATAAAAAGAAAGTTTAAATTATCTGAGATGAATGCACACATCACAAAGAAGTTTCTAAGAATGCTTCTGTTTAGTTTTTATTTGAAGATATTTCCTTTTCCTTCGTAGGCCTCAAAGTGCTCCAAATATCCACTTACATATTCTACAACAGTGTGTATCCAAACTGCTCAATCAAAAGAATGTTTCAACTCTGTGAGATAAATGCACACATCACAAAGAAGTTTCTCAGTATGCTTCTGCCTAGTTATTATTTGAAAATGTTTCCTTTCACACCGTATGCCTCAAAGTGCTCCAAATATCCATTTGCAGATTCTACATAAAGACTGTTTCGAAAATACTCATTAAAAAGGAAGTTTCAACTCTGTGACATGAAAGCACACATCACAAATGAGTTTCTCAGAAAATTTTTGTCTAGTTTTCATGTGAAGATATTTCCTGTTTCCCCATAGGCCTCAATGGGGTCACAAATTCCCTTTGCTGATTCTACTAAACGAGTCTTTCCAATATGCTCAGTCAAAAGAAAATTTTAACTCTGTGAGATAAGTGCACACATCACAAAGATGTTTCTCAGAATGCTTCTGTCTCGTTTTTATGTGAAGATATTTCATTTTCCACCATAGGCCTCAAAGCGATACAAATATCCACTTGCAGATTCTACAAAAAATGTTTCAAAACTGCTCAATGAAAAGAAAGGTTCAACACTGTGAGATGAATGCACACATCCAAAGAAGTTTCTCCAAATGCTTCTGTATAGTTTTTATGTGGTGATATTTCCTTCTCCACCATAGGCCTCAAAGCGCTTCAAATATCCACTTGCAGATTCTACCAAAAGCGTTTTTCCAAACAACTCAATGAATAGAAAGGTTCAACTCTGTGAGATGAATGCACACATCACAAAGTAGTTTCTCAGAATGCTTCTTTCTGATTTTTATGTGAAGATAATTCCTTTTTCACCATAGTCCTCAAAGTGCTGCAAATATACATTTACAGATTCTACAAAAAGACTGTTTCCAAACTGCTTAATGAAAAGAAAATTTCAACTCTGTGAGATAAAAGCACACATTACAAAGGAGCTTCTCAGAAAATTTCTGCGTATTATTTATGTGAAGATATTTCCTATTTCCTCATAGGCCTCAAAGGGCTAACAAATATAACTCTCCAGATTCTACAAAATGATGGCTTCCAAACTGGTCAATCAAAAGAGATGTTCAGCTCTGTGACATGAATGCACACATCACAAAGAAGTTCCTCAGAATGATTTTGTCTCGTTTTTATGTGAAGATATTCCCTTTTCCACCATAGGCCTCAAAGTGCTCCAAATATCAATTTGCAGATTCTACAAAGAGACTGTTTCCAAACTGCTCAAACAAAAGAAAGTTTCACCTCTGTGAGATGAAAGCACACATCGCAAAGAAGTTTCTCAGCAACTTTCTGTCTACGTTTTATTGGAAGATATTTCCTATTTCCCCATAGGCCTCAATGGGCTCACAAATATTTCTCTGCAGATTCTACCAAAAGACTGTTTCCAAACTGCATAATCAAAGAGATGTTCAACACTCTGATTTGATTTCACTCATCACAAAGAAGTGTCTCAGAATGCTTCTGTCTAGTTTTTATGTGTAGATATTTCCTTTATTACCATAGGCATCAAAGCGCTCCAAATATCCATTTGCAGATAATACAAAAAGACAGTTTTCAAACTGCTCATTCAAAAGAAAAGCACAACTCTGTGAGATGAATGCTCACATCACAAAGAAGTTTCTCAGAAAGTTCCTGTCTAGTTTTTATGTGAAGATGTTTCCATTTTCACCATAGGCATTAAACGGCTCGAAAATATCCCTCTGCAGATACTAAATAAAGAGTGTTTCCAAACTGCTCGGTCAAAAGAAATGTTCAATTCTGTGAGATGAAATCAGGCATCACAAAGAAGCTTCTCAGAAATCTTCTGTCTAGTTTTTTTTGTGAAGATATTTCTCTTTCCCCATAGGCCACAAAAGGGTCACAAATATTCCTTTGCAGATTCTACAAAACGACTGTTTCCAAAGTGCTGAATCAAATGAAAGGTTCAACTCTGTGTGATGAAGGCACACATCACAAGGAAGTTTCTCAGAATGCTTCTGTCTAGTTTTTATTTGAAGATATTTCCTTTTCCAACATAGGCCTCAAAGCCCTCCAAATATCCACTTGCAGATTCTGCAAAAAGAGTGTTTCAAACTGCTCAATGAAAAGAAAGTTTCAACTCTGTGAGTTCAATGCAAACATCACAAAGAAGTTTTTCAGAATGCTTCTGACTAGTTTTTATGTGAAGATATTTCCTTTTTCACCATATGACAGAAAGGGCTCCAAATATCCATTTGCAGATAGTACAAAAAGACTGTTTCCCAATGGCTCAATCAAAAGAAAGGTTCAACCCTGTGAGGTGAATGCACACATCACAAAGAAGTTTCTCAGAATGCTTCTGTCTAGTTTTTATGTGAAGATATTCCCTTTTTCACCATAGGCCTCAAAGAACTCCAAATATCCATTTGCAGTTTCTACAAAAAGACTGTTTCCAAACTGCTTAATCAAAAGAAAGTTTCAAATCTGTGAGAGGAAAGCACACATCACAAAGAAGTTTCTCAAAATGTTTCTGTCTAGTTTTTATGTGAAGATATTTAATATTTCCCACAGCCCTCAATGGGCTCGCATTTATCCCTTTGCAGATTCCACATGACGACAGTTACCAAACTGCTCAACCAAAAGAAATGTTCAACTCTGTGAGAGGAATGCACAAATCACAAAGAAGTTTCTCAAAATGCTTCTGTCTAGTTTTTATGTGAAGCTATTTTCTTTCCACCATAGGCCTCAAAGTGCTCTAAATATCTGCTTGCAGATTCTACAGAAAGAATGTTTCCCAATTGCTCAATAAAAAGTAGCGTTCAACACTGTGAGATGAATGCACACAGCACAAAGAAGTTTCTCAGAATGCTTCTGTGTAGTTTTTATGTGAAGATATTTCCTTTTTCACCATAGGCCTCAAAGCGCTCCAAATATCCATTTGCAGATACTACAAAAACAGTGTTTCCAAACTGCTCAATCAAAAGAAACGTTCAATCCTGTGAGATGAATGCAAACATCACAAAGAAGTTTTTCAGAATTCTTCTGTCTAGTTTTTATGTGAAGCTATTTCTTTTTTCACCATAGGCCACAAAGTGGTCCAAATATCCATTTGCAGATTCTTCAAATGACTCTTTTCAAACTGCTCCATCAATATAAAGTTGCAACTCTGTGAGATGAAAGCACACATCACAGAGATGTTTCTCAGAAAGTTTCTGTCCAGTTTTTATGTGAATATATTTCCTTTTTCATCATAGGCCTCAAATTGCTCAGAAATATCCCTTTGCAGATTCTACAAAATGACTGTTTCCAAACTGCTCTATCAAAAGAAAGATTCAACTCTGTGAGATGAATGCAGATATCACAAATAAGTTTCTCAGAAATCTTCTGTCTAGTTTTTATGTGAAGATATTTCCTTTTTCACAGTAGTCCTCAAATGTCTCCCAAATATCCCTTTGCAGATTCTACAAAAGGACTGTTGCCAAACTGCTCAATCAAAGGAAATTTTAAACTCTGTGAGTTGAATGCACACATCACAAAGTAGTTTCTCTGAAAGCTTCTGTCCAGTTTTTATGTGAACATATTCCCTTTTCACCATAGACCTCAAAGGGATCCCACATACCACTTTGTAAATTCTAAAAAAAGACTGTTTCCAAACTGCTCAAAAAAGAAAGGTTCAACTTTGTGTGATTAATGCACACATCATAAAGAAGTTTCTCACAAATCTTCTGTATAGTTTTTATATGTTGATACTGCCTTCTTCACCATAGGCCTCAAACCACTCAGTAATATCACTTTGTAGATTCCAGAAAAAGAATATTTCCAAATTTCTCAATCAAAAGAACGTTTCAACTCTGTGAGATAATTGCAGACATCAAAACGAAGTTTCTCAGAAAGTTTCAGTATAGTTTTTATTTGAATATATTCCCTTTTTCACAATAGACCTCAAAGGGATCCCAAATATCCCTTTGCAGAGTGTATAAAAAGACGGTTTCCTAACTGCTCAATCAAAAGAAAGGTTAAACTTTCTGAGTTGAATGCACACATTGCAAAGAAATTTCTCAGAGAGCTTCTGTCTAGTTTTTATGTGAAGATATTTCCTTTTTCACCATATGCCTCAAAGCACTCCAAATATCCGTTTGTAGTTTCTACAAAAAGACTGTTTCTGAACTGCTCAATCAAAAGGAAGTTTCAACTTTGTTAGGTGAATGTCCTCATCACAAAGATATTTCTCAGAAAGCTTCTATCTAGTTTTCATGGGAAGTTATTTCCTTTCTCACCATAGGCCTCAAAGGGCTCCCAAATATCCCTTTGCAGATTCTAGAAAAACACACTTTCCTAACTTCTCAATCAAAAGAAAGGTTCAACTCTGTTAGTTGAATGCACGTATCACAAAGAGGTTTCTCAGAGTGATTCTGTCCAGTTGTTATGTGAAGGTATTCCGTTTTTCATCAGAGGTCTCAAAGGGATCCCAAATATCCCTTTGCAGATTCTGCAAAAAGACTGTTTCCAAACTGTTCAATCAAAAGAAAGGTTCAACTCTGTGAGATGAATGCACAAATCACAGAAGTTTCTCAGAATGCTTCTGTCTAGTTTTTATGTGAAGATATTTCCTTTTCCACTATAGGCCTCAAAGTGCTCCAAATATCCACTTGCAGATACTACAAAAAGACTGTTTCCAAATTGCTCAATCAAAAGAAAGGTTCAGCTCTGTGAGATGAATACACACATCACAAAGAATTTTATGAGAAAACTTCTGTCTAATTTTTATGTGAAGGTATTTCCTTTTTCACTACAGCCTCATAGGGCTCCGAAATATCCGTTTGCATATTCTATAAAAAGACTGTATCCAAACTGCTCATTCAAAAGAAATGTTCTACCCCAGGAGGTGAAAGCACACAGCATGAAGACAATTCTCAGAAAGCCTCTGTCTGGTTTTTATGTGAAGATATGCCCTTTATCACCATAGGCATCAAAAAGCTCAGAAATAACCTTCTGCATATTCTAGAAAAAGACTGTTTCCAAACTGCTCAATCAAAGGAAATTTCAACTCTGTGAGCTGAATGCACACATGTCAAACAAGATTCTCTGAAAACTTCTCTCTAGTTTTTATGTGAAGATATTTCCTTTTTCACCGTATACCTCAAAATACTCAGAAATATCCCTTTGTAGATTCTACAAAAAGATTTTTCCAAACTGCTCAATCAAAAGAAAGGATTAACTCTGTGAGATGAATGCACACATCACAAAGAATTTTCTGAGAAATCTTCTGTCTAGTTTTTAAGTGATGATATTTCCTTTTTCACCATAGGCATCAAAGAGTTCCCAAATATCCCTTTGCAGATTCTACAAGAAGACTGTTTCCAAACTCCTCAAACAAAAGAAAGGTTCAACATAGTGAGTTGAATGCACACATCATAAAGAAGTTTCTCAGAAACTTTCTGTCTAGTTTTTTTATGAAGATATTTCCTTTTTCACTGTAGGCCTCAAAGGGCTCCCAAACATCTCTTTTCAAGTTCCACAAAAAGACTGTTTCCAAACTGCTCAATCAAACGAAAGGTTATACTCTGTGAGATGAATGCAATCATCACAAAGAAGTTTCTCAGAAATCTTCTGTCTTGTTTTTATGTGAACATATTTCCTTTCTTACCATAGGCCTCAAAGGGCTCCCAAATATCCCTTTGCAGATTCTAAAAAAAATACTGTTTCCTAACTGGTCAATCATGAGAAAATTTCGCTCTGTGAGTTGAATTCACACATCACGAAGGGGTTTCTCAGAAAGCTTCTTTCTAGTTTGTATGTGAAGATATTCCTTTACACAGTAGGCCTCAAAGGCATCCCAAATATATGTTTGCAGATTCTACAAAAAGACTGTTTCCAAACTGCTCAATCAAAACAAAGTTTCAACTCTGTGAGATGAATCCACACATCACAAAGAATTTTCTGAGAAAGTTTCTGTCTAGTTTTTATGTGAAGATATTTCTTTTTTTACCATAGGCCTCAAAGGGCTCTGAAGTATCCATTTGCAGATTCTATAAAAAGATGGTTTCAAAACTGCTCATTCAATAGAAATGTT
Source organism: Homo sapiens (assembly GCF_000001405.40). Taxonomy (NCBI): domain Eukaryota; kingdom Metazoa; phylum Chordata; class Mammalia; order Primates; family Hominidae; genus Homo; species Homo sapiens. The sequence continues at coordinate 39,399,748 of NC_000010.11, read as the reverse complement.
CAACTCTGAGAGTTGAATGTACATATCACAAAGAAGTTTCTCAGAAATCTTCTGCCTAGTTTTTATGTGAAGATATTTCCTTTTTCACCATAGGCCTCAAACGGCTCACATATATCCCTTTGCAGACTCTAAAAGAAGACTGTTTCAAAACTGCTTAATCAAAGGAAATTTCAAATCTGTGAGATGAATGTACTCATCTCAAACAAGTTGCTCAGAAATCTTCTGTCTAGTTTTTATGTGAAGATATTTCCTTTTTCACCATAGGTCTCAAAGCACTCAGAAATATCCCTTCGCAGTTTCTCCAAAAAGACTTTTTCCAAACTGCTCAATCAAAAGAAAGATTCAACTCTGTGAAATGAATGCATGCATCTCAAAGAATTTTCCGAGAAATCTTCTGTCTAGTTTTTATGTGATAATATTTCCTTTTTCACCTTAGGCCTCAAAGAGTTCCTATCCCTTTGCAGATTCTACAGAAAGCCTGTTTCCAAACTGCTCAATCAAAAAAAGGTTCAACTCTGTGAAAAGAATGCACACATCACAAAGAATTTTCTCAGAAAACTGTCTAATTTTTATGTGAAGAAATGCCCTTTTTCACCATGAGCCTCAAAGGGATCTCAAATATCCGTTTGCAGATTCTATAAAAAGACTGTTTCAAAACTGCTCAATCAAAAGGAATTATCAACTGTGTGAGTTGAATGCAAACAGCACGAAGAAGTTTCTCAGAAAGCTTCTGTCTAGTTTTTATGTGAAGATATTCACTTTTTCACATTAGGCCTCAAACGGCTCAGAAATATCGCTTTGCAGATGCTAGAAAAAGACTCTTTCCAAACTGCACAATGAAAACAAAGGTTCAACACTGTGAGATGAATGCAACCATCACTAAGAAGTTTCTTAGAAAACTTCCATCTTGTTTTTATGTGAAAATATTTTCCTGTTAACCATAGTCCTCAAACCACTCAGAAATAGCCCATTGCAGATTGTACAAAAAGAATGTTTCCAAACTGCTCAATCAATAGAAAGGTTCAACACTGTAAGATGAATGCACACATCACAAAGAAGTTTCTCAGAATACTTCTGCCTAGTTTTTACCTGAAGATATTCCCTTTTTCACCATAGCCCTCAGAGGGATCCCAAATATCCATTTGCAGTTCCTACAAAACGATTCTTTCCAAACTGCTCAATCAAAAGAAAGGTTCATATCTATGGGTTGAATGCACACTTCACAAACAATTTTCTGAGAAAGCTTCCATCTAGTTTTTATGTGAAGATATTTCCTTTTCCACCATGGGCCTCAAATCACTCAGAAATATCCCTTTGCATATTCTCCAAAAAGACTGTATGCAAAATTCTCAATCAAAAGGAAGTTTTTCACCTCTATGAGACGAAAGCACACAACACAAAGAAATTTCTAAGAAAGCTTCTGTCTAGTTTTCATGTGAAGATATTTCCTTTTTCACCACAGGCTTCAACCCGCTCAGAAATATCTCTTTGCAGATGCTTGAAAAGGAATGTTTCCAAACTGCACAATGAAAAGACAGGATCAACACTGTGAGATGAATGCACACAGCACAAGGAAATTTCTCAGAACACTTCCATCTAGTTTTTATGTGAAGATATTCTGGTATTCACCATAGACCTAAAGGGATCCCAAATATCCCTTTGTGGATTCTACAAAAATACTGTTTCCAAACTGCTCAATCAAAAGAAAGGTTCAACAGTGTGAGTTGAATGCACACAATGCAAAGAAGTTTCTCAGAAAGCTTCTGTCTCGTTTTTATATGAAGATATTTCCTTTTTCACCATAGGTCTCAAACTGCTGAGAAATATCCCTTTGCAGATTCTAGAAAAAGACAGTTTCCAAACCTCTCAATCAAAAGAAAGTTTCAACTCTGTGATATGAATTAACTCATCACAAAGAAGTTTCTCAGAAAGCTTCTGTCTAGCTTTTTTGTGAAGATATTTCCTTTCTCACTGTTTGCCTAAAAGGGCTCCAAAATATCCCTTTCCAGATTTGACAAAAAGAGTGTTTCCAAAATGCTTAATCAAAGGAAAGGTTCCACTCTGTGTGATGAATGCACGAATCACAATTAAGTTTCTCAGAAACCTTCTGTCTAGATTTCATATGAAGATATTTCTTTTTCACCATAGGCCTCAAAGCACCCTCAAATATCCCTTTGCAGATTCTACAAAAAGACTGTTTCCAAACTACTCAATCAAAAGAAAGGGTCCACTCTGTGAGATGAATGAACACATCACAAAGAAGTTCCTCAGGAAGCTTCTGCAGAGTTTTTATGTGAAAATATTTACTTTTTCACCGTACGCCCCAAACCGCTCAAAAATATCCCTTTGAAGATTCTCAAAAAGACGCTTTCCAAACTCCTCAATCAAAGGAAGGTTCAACTCTGTGAGATGAATGCACACATCACAAAGAATTTCCTGAGAAAGCTTCTGTCTAATTTTTATGTTAAGATATTTCCTTTTCCACTGTAGGCCTGAAGGGGTTCCTAAATAACCCTTTGCAGATACTACAAAAAGACTGTTTCCAAACTCCTCAATCAAAAGAAAGGTTCAAGTCTGTGAGATGAATGCACACATCATAAAGAAGTTTTTCAGAAATCTTCTTTCTAGTTTTTACATGAAGATATTTCCTTTTTCACCACAGGACTCAAACCGCACAGAAATAGCCCTTTGCAAATGCATAAAAAAGACTGTTTCCAAACTGCACAATGAAAAAAAAACGTTCAACACTGTGAGATGAATGCACACATAACAAGAAGTTTCTCAGAAAACTTTCTTCTAGTTTTTATGTGAAAATATTTCCCTCTTCAACATAGACCTCAAATCGCTCAGAAACATCTCTTTGCAGATTGTAGAAAAACACGGATCCCAAACTGCTCAATCAAAGGAAAGGTTCCATTCTGTGAGATGAATGCACATATCACAAAGAAGTGTCTCAGAAAGCTTCTATTTGGTTTTTATGTGAAGATAATTCCTTTTTCACCATAGGCCTCAAACCATTCAGAAATATCCTTTTGCGGATTCTACAAAAAGACTGTTTCCAAACTGCTCAATCAAAAGAAATGTTCAACCTTGCGAGATGAATGCAAACATCAAAAAAAAATTTCTTGGTAAGTTTCTGTCTAGTTTTTATGTGAGGATATTTCCCTTTTCACCATTGGCCTCAAAGGGTTCCCAAATATCCCTTTGCATATTCTAGCAAAAGACTGCTTCCAAACTTTTCAATCAAAAGTAAGTTTCAACAATGTGAGATGAATGCACACATCAAAAAGAAGCTTCTCAGAAGCTTCTGTCTAGTTTTTATGTGAATGCATTCCCTTTTTCACCGTAGGCCTCAAGGGATCCCAAATAATCCTTTGCAGATGCTACAAGAAGACTATTTCCAAACTGCTCAATCAAAAGAAAGGTTCAACTCAGTGAGATGAATGCACTCATCACAAGGATGTTTCTCAGAAAGCTTCCGTCTAGTTTTTATGTGAAGATATTGCCTTTCTCACCATAGGCCTCAAAGGGCTCCGAAATATCCCTTTTGCAGATTGTACAAAAAGACGGTTTCGTAACTGCTCAATCAGAAGAAGGGTTCAACTCTGTGAGTTGCATGCACACGAAACAAACAAGTTTCTCAGAGAACTTCTGTCTAGTTTTTATGTGAAGATATTCCCTTTTTCACCTTAGGTCTCAAAGGGCTCCCAAATATCCCTTTGCAGATTCTACAAAAAGACTGTTTCCAAACTGCTCAATCAAAGGAAACGTTCAACAATGTGAGAGGAATCACACATCATAAAGAAGTTTCTCAGAAACCTTCTTTCTAGTTTTTATAAGAAGATATTTCCTTTTTCACAATAGGCCTCAAACCGCTCAGAAATATCACTTTGCAGATTGTACAAAAAGACTGTTTCTAAACTGCTTACTCAAAAGAAAAGTTGAACATTGTGAGATGAATACATACATAATAAAGAAGTTTCTCAGAAAGCTTCTGTCTAGTTTTTATGTGAAGATATACTCTTTTTCACTGTAACCCTCAAGGGGATCCCATATATCCCTTTGCAGATACTACAAAAAGATTCTTTCCAAAGGGCTCAATCAAAGGAAGGTTCACCTCTGTCAGTTGAATGCACACATTACAAAGAAGTTTCTCAGAAAGCTCCTGTCTAGTATTTATTGGAAGATATTCCCTTTTCCACCATAGGCCTCAGAGGGATACAAAACATCCCTTTTCAGATTTTACAAAAAGACTGTTTCCAAACTGCTCAATCAAAAGAAAGTTTCAACTCTGTGAAATGAATATAAACATCATAAAGAAATTTCTCAGAAAGCTTCTGTCTAGTTTTTATGTGAAAATATTTCCTTTTCCACCATAGGACACAAATCGTTCAGAAATATCCTTATGCATATTCTACAAAAAGACAGTTTCCAAACTGCTCAATCAAAAGAAAGGTTTAATTCTGTGACATGAATGTGCACATCACAAAGAAGTTTCTCAGAAAGCTTCTGTCTATTTTTTATGTGAAGATATTTCCTTTTACACCGTAGGCTTCAAAGGGATCCCAAATATCCCTTTGCAGATTCCACAAAAACATGTTTCCAAACTGCTCAATGAAAAGAAAGTTCAACTCTGTTAGTTGAATGCGCATATCACAAAGAAGTTTTTCAGAAAGTTTCTGTCTAGTTGTTATATGAAGATATTCTGTATTTCACCATAGGCCTCAAACTGCCCAGAAATATCCCTTTGCAGATTCTATAAAAAGACAGTTTCCAAACTGCCCAATCAAAGGAAAGTTTCAAATCTGTGAGATGAATGCACCCATCACAAAGAAGTTTCTCAGAAAGCTTCTGTCTAGTTTTTATGTGAAGATAATAACTTTTTCACCATAGGACTCAAACCGCTCAGAAATATCTCTTTGCAGATTCTACAAAAAGACTGTTTCCAAACTGCTCAATCAAAAGAAAGTTTCAACCCTGTGAGATGAATGCAAAGGCCAAAAAGAATTTTCTGAGAAAGTTTCTGTCTAGTTTTTATGTGAAGATATTTACCTTTTCACCATAGACCTCAAAGGGCTCCCAAATATCCCTTTGCAGATTCTACAAAAAGACTGTTTACAAACTGCTCAATCAAAGGAAAGGCTCAACTCTGTGAGAGGAATGCACACATCATAAAGAAGTTTCTCAGAAACATTCTGTCTGGTTTTTATCAGAAGATACTTACTTTTTCACCATAGGCCTCAAAATGCTCAGAAATATCCCTTTGCCTATTCTAGAAAAAGACTGTCTCCAAACTGCACAATCAAAAGAAAGGTTCTGCTCTGTGAGATGAATGCACACATCACAAAGATGTTTCTTAGGAAGCTTCTGTCTAGTTTTTATATGAAGATAATGCCGTGTTCTCCATAGGCCTGAAGCTGGTCAGAAATATCCCTTCGCAGATTCTAAAAAACGACGGTTTCCGAACTGCTCAATCAAAAGAAAGTTTCAAATCTGTGAGTTGAATGTACACATCACAAAGAAGTTTCTCATAAAGATTCAGTGTAGTAATTATATGAACATATTTCCTTTTTCACCATAGGCCTCAAAAGGATCACAAGTGGCACTTTGAAGATTCTACCTAAAGACTGTTTCCAAACTACTGAATCAAAAGAAAAGTTCAACTCTGTGGGTTGAATGCACACATCAAAAAGAAGTATCTCAGAAAGCTTCTGTCTAGTTTTTATGTGAAGATATTTCCTTCATCACGATAGGCCTCAAACCACTCAGAAATATCCCTTTGCAGATTTTAGAAAAAGACTGCTGGCAACCTGCTCAATCAAAAGAAAGTTTCATCTATTTGGGATGAATGCACACATCACAAAGAAGTTTCACAGAAAGTTTCTAACTTTTATTTGAAGATATTTCCTATTTCCCCATAGGCCTCAATGGGCTCACAAATATCCCTTTGCAGATTGTACAAAACGACTGTTTCCAAACTGCTCAATCAAAAGAAATGTTCAACTCTGTGAGATGAATGCACACATCACAAAGAAGTTTCTCAGAAAGCTTCCGTCTAGTTTATATGGGAGGATATTTCCTTTTTCACCATAGGCCTAAAAGGGATCCCAAATATCCTTTCACAAATTCTACAAAAAGACTGCTTCCAAAGGGCTCAATAAAGAAAGATTCAACTCTCTGAGATGAATGCACACAAGAATTTTCTGAGATGGCTTCAGTACAGTTTTTATGTGAAGATATTTCCTTTTTCACAATAAGCCTGATATGTCTCCCAAATATCCCTTGCAGATTCTACAAAAAGACTGTTTCCAAATTGTTCAATCAAAAGAAAGGTTCAACTCAGTGATTTGAATGCACACATCATGAAGAAGTTTCTCAGAAAGCTTCTCTCTAATTTTAATGTGAAGATAGTTCCTTTTTCACCATAGGCCTCAAAATGCTCAGAAATATCCCTTTACAGATCCTAGAAAACGACTGTTTCCATGCTGCTCAATAAAAAGAAAGGTTCAACTCTGTGAGATAAATGCACACAGCACAAAGAAGTTTCTCAGAAATCTTCTGTCTAGTTTTTATGTGAAGATATTTCCTTTTTCACCATAGGCCTCAAAACGCTCAGAAATATCCCTTTGCAGATTCCACAAAATGACTGTTTCCAAACAGCTCAATCAAAAGAAAGGTTCAACACTGAGATGAATGCACACATAAGAGAGAAGTTTCTCTGAAAGCTTCTGTCTAGTTTTTATGTGAACATATTTCCTTTTTCACCATGGGCCTCAAAGGGATCACAAATATTCCTTTGGCAATTCTACAAAAGGACTGTTTCCAAACTGCTGCACCAAAAGAAAGATTCAACACTGTGAGATGAATGCTCACATAAGAGAGAAGTTTTCTCTGAAGCTTCTGTCTAGTTTTTATGTGAACATATTTCCTTTTCACCATAGGCCACAAGAGGCTCCCAATATCCCTTTACAGATTCTACAAAAAGACTGTTTCCAAACTTCTCAATTAAAAGGAAAGTTCAAGTCTGTGAGTTGAATGCACACATCAGAAAGAAGTTTCTCAGAAAGATTCTGCCTATTTTTTTATGTGAAGATATTCCCTTTTTCATTCTAGTACTTAGAGGGTTCCTAAATATCACTTTGCAGATTCTAGAAAAATACTGTTTCCAAACTTCCCAATTAAAAGGTAGATTCAACTCTGTGAGATGAATGCAGGCATCACAAAGAAGTTTCTCAGAAAGCTTCTGTCAAGTTTTTATGTGAAGATATTTCCTTGCTCACCATAGTCCTCAAACTGCTCAGAAATATCACTTTGCAGATTCTAGAAAAAGGCTGCTTCAATTTCCAAACTGCTCAATCCAAAGAAAGCTTCAACTCTTTCAGATGAATGCACACATCACAATGAAGTTTCACAGAATGTTTCTGTTTAGTATTTAGAGGAAGATATTTCCTTTTTCACCATATCCTCCAACTGCTCAGAAATATCCCTTGCATATTTCTACAAAATGATGTTTTCCAAACTGCTCAATCTAAGAAAATGTTCAACTCTGTGAGATGAATGCACTCATCACAAAGGTTTTCTGAGAAACCTTCTGTCTCATCTTTATGTGAAGATATTCCCTTTTGAACATAGGCCTCAAAGTGATCCCAAATATCCCTCTGAAGATTCTACAAAAAGACTGTTTCCAAACTGCTCAATTGAAAGAAAAGTTCAATTCCTTGAGTTGAATCCACACATCAAAAATAAGCTTCTCAGAATGCTTCTGTCTAGTCTTAATGTGAAGATGTCCCCTTTTTCACCCTATGCCTTAAAGGGATCCCAAATATCCCTTCATAGATTCTACAAAAAAACTGTTTCAAAACTGCTCAATCAATAGAAATGTTCAACTCTGTGAGATGAAGGCACACATCATAAACAAGTTTCTTAGAATGTTACAGTCTAGTTTTTATACGGAGGTATTTCCTTTTACACCATACGCCTCAAACCGCTCAGAAATATCCCTTTGCAGATCCTACAAAAAGACTGTTTCCAAATTTCTCAATCAAAAGGAAGGTTCAACTCTGTGAGATGAATGCCCACATCACAAAGAAGTTTCTCAGAAACCTTCTGTCTAGTTTTTATGTGAAGTTATACACTTTTTCACCTTAGGCCTCAAAGGGATCCCAAATGTCCCTTTTCAGATTCTACAAAAAGATTATTTCCAAACTGCTCAATCAAAAGAAAAGTTCATCTCCGTGAGTTCAATGCGCATATCACAAAGAAGTTTCTCAGAAGGCGTCCATCTAGTTTTTATGTGATGATATTTCCTTTTTCACCATAGGCCTTAAAGGGTCCCAAATATCCCACTACAGATTCTAGAAAAAGACTGTTTCCAAACTGCTCAATCAAAAGAAATGTTCAACTCTGGGAGTTGAATGCAAACATCAAAAGGCGTTTCTCAGAAACTTTCTGTCTAGTTTTTATGTGAAGATATTTCCTTTTTCACCATGGGGCTCAAACCACTCAGACATATACCTTTGCAGATTCCAGAAAAAGACTGTTTTCAAAATGCTCAATCTAAAGAAAGGTTCAACTCTGTGAGATGAATGCACACACCACAAAGAAGTTTCTATAAAAGCTTCTATCCAGTTTTTATGTGAAGATATTTTCTTTTTCACAATAGGCCTCCAAAGGCTCCCAAATATCACTTTGTGGATTCTACAAAAAGACTCTTTCCAAGCTGCTCAATCAAAAGAAAGGTTCAACTCTGTGAGTTGAATGCACATATCACAAAGAAGTTTCTCAGAAAGCTTCTCTTTAGTTTTTCTGTGAAGATATTTCCCTTTTCACAATATGCCTCAAAAGGCTCAGAAATATCCATTTGCAGATTCTAGAAAAAGAGTGTTTCCAAACTGCTCAATCAAAAGAAAGTTGCCACTCTGTGAGGTGAATGCACACACCACAAGGAAGTTTCTCAGAAAGACTCTGTCTAGTTTTTATGTGAAGATATTCCATTTTTCACCATAGGTCTCAAATGGATCCCAAATATCCCTTTGCAGATTCTATAAAAAGGCTGTTTCCAAACTGGTGAATGAAAGGAAAGGTTCAAATCTCTGTGTTGAATTCAAACATCACAAAGAAGTTTCTCAGAAAGCTTCTGTCTAGTTTTTATGTGAAGATATTTCCTTTTTCACCATAGACATCAAACTACTCAGGAATATCCCTTTGCTGTATTGCAAAAAGACTGTTTCCAGACTGCTCAATCAAAAGAAAGGTTCAACTGTATCATATGAATGCAAACATCAAAAATAAGTTCCTCAGGAAAACTTCTGTCTAGTTTTTATGTGAAGATATTCCATTTTTCACCGTTGGCCTCAAAGGCATCTCAAATATCCCTTTGCAGATTCTACAGATAGACTGCTACCAAACAGCTGAATCAAAATAAAGGTTCAATTCTGTGAGATGAGTGCACACATCACAAAGAAGTTTTTCAGAAATCTTCTGTCTAGTTTTTATGTGAAGATATTTCCTTTGAGGCCTATGGTGAAAAAGGAATTATCTTCACATAAAAACTAGACAGAAGCTTTTTCAGAAACTTGTTTGTTATGTGTGCTTTCAACTCACAGAAAGGAACCTTTCTTTTTATTGAGCAGTTTGGAAACAGTCTTTTTGTACAACCTGCAAAGGTATATTTCTGAGCAGTTTGATGCCTATGGTGAAAAAGTAAATATCCTCATATAAAAACTAGAAAGAAGCTTTCTGAGAAACTTCTTTATAATGTGTGCAATCATCTCACAGATTTGAACCTTTCCTTTGATTGAGCAGTTTGGAAACGATCTTTTTGTAGTATCTACAAAGGGATATATGGCAGCACTTTGAGGCCTATGGTGAAAAGGGATATATCTTCACATAAAAACTAGACAGAAGCACTCTCATAAAATTCTTTATGATGTGTGCATTCATTTCACAGATTTGAACTTTTCCTTTTATTGAGCAGTTTGGAAACAGTCTTTTCATAGAATCTGCAAAGGGATGTTCCTGAGTGGTTTGAGCCTTATGGTGAAAAAGGAAATATGTTCACATGAAAATTAGATGGAAGCTTTCTGAGACACTTCTTTGTGATGTGTGCATTCATCTCACAGAGTTGAAACTCTCTTTTGATTGAGCAGCTTGGAAACATTCTTATTCTAGAATCTGAAAATGGATATTTCTGAGCAGTTTCAGGCCTATGGTGAACAGGGAAGTATCTTCACATAAAAACTAGACAGAAGCATTCTGAGAAACTTCTTTGTGATGTATGCATTCATCTCACAGTGCTGAACCTTTGTTTTCATTGTGCAGTTTGGAAACAGTTTTTTTCTAGAATCTGCAAAGGGATATTTTGGAGAGGTATGAGGCCTATGGTGAAAAAGGAAATATCTATAAATAAAAACTAGACAGAAGCTTTCTGAGAAACTACTTTGAGATTTCTGCATTCAACTCACATAGTGGAAACTTTCTTTCAATTGAGCAGTTTGCAAACAGTCTTTTTTGTAGAATCTGCAAAGGGATATTTTGAGTGCTTTCAGGCTTATGGTGAAAAAGGAAATATCTTCACATAAAAACTAGACAGAAGCTATCTCGGAAAATTCTTTGTGATGTGTGCACTCGTCTCAGAGTGTTGAACCTTTCTTTTTTTGAGCATTTTGGAAACAGTCTGTCTGTAGAATTTACAAAGGGGTATTTTTGATCCCTTTGAGGCCAATGCTGAACAAGGGAATATCTTCACATAAAAACTAGACAGAAGCTTTCTGAGAAACTTCTTTGTGATGTGTGCATTCTACTCACAGAGTTGAACGCTTCTTTTGATGGAGCAGTTTGGAAACAGTCGTTTTGCAGAATCTGCAAAGGGATATTTGGGATACTGTTGAGGCCAAAGGTGAGAAAGGGAATATCTTCATATAAAAACTATACAGAACTTTTCACAGAAACTTCTTTGTGATGTGGGTATTCATCTCACAAAGTTGAACCTTCCTTTTGATTGAGCAGTTTGGAAACAGTTTTTTGTAGAATCTGCAAAGGGATATTTCTGAGTGGTTTGAGGCCTATGGTGAAAAAGAAAATATCTTCATATAAAAACTAGACAGAAGCTTTCTGAGAAACTTCTTTATGATGTGTGCATTCATCTCACAGAGTTGAACTTTTCTTTTGTTTGAGCAGTTTGGAAACAACATTTTTGAGGAATCTGCAAAGGGTTATCTGGGAGCCCTTTGAGTCCAATGGAGAAAAAGGAAATATCTTCAAATAAATACTCGACAGAAACATTCTCAGAAAATTCTTTTTGATGTGCGCATTTTACTCACAGAGTTGAACCTTTCTTTTCTTTGAGTACTTGGAAACAGTCTTTTTGTAGATTCTGTAAAGGGATGTTTCTGAGAGGCTGGAGGCCTATGATGAAGAAAGAAATATCTTCACTTTAAAACGAGACATAATCTTTCTAAGAAACATCTTTGTGATGACTGCATTCATCTCACAGAGTTGAAACTATCTTTTGATGGAGCAGTTAGGAAATAGTCTTATTGTAGAATCTGCAAAGGGATATTTAGGAGCCCTTTGAGGCCTATGGTGAAAAACGAAATATCTTAACATAAAAACTAGACAGAAGTTTTTGAGAAACTTCTTTGTGATGTATGCATTCAACTCTGAGAGTTGAACCTTTCTTTTGATTGAGCAGTTTGGAAACAGTATTTTGTGGAACCTGCAAAAGGATATTTGGGATCCCTTTGAGGGCTATGGTGAAAATGGGAATATCTTCATACAAAAACTAGACAGAAGCTTTCTGAGAAACTTCTTTATGATGTGTTCATTCATCACACAGAGCTGAACGTTTCTTTTTTTTGAGCAGTTTGGAAACAGTCTTTTTGCAGAATTTGCAAAGGGGTATTTAGGATCACTTTGAGGCCTATGGTGAAAAATGGAATATCTTCACATAAAAACTAGACTGTTTTGAAACACTCTTTTTGTAGAATCTGCAAGTGGATATTTGGGAGCCCTTTGAGGCCAATGGTGAAAAAGGAAATATCTTCACATAAAAACTATATAGAAGTTTTCTGAGAAACTTCTTTGTGATGTGTGCATTCCGCTTTCAAAGTTAAACCTTGCTTTTCCTTCAGAAGTTTGGAAACATTCTTTTTGTAGAATCTGCAAAGGGGTTTTTCTGAGCGGTTTGTGGCCTATGATGTTAAAGGAAATAACTTCACATAAAAACTACACAGAAGCTTTCTGAGAAACTTCCTTGGGATGTGTGCATTCATCTCACAGAGTTGAAACTATCTTTTGACTGAGCAATTTGGAAACAGTCTTTTTGTAGAATCTGCAAAGGGATATTTGGGATCCCTTTATGGCCTGTGGTGTAAAAGGGATATTCTTCACATAAAAACAAGACAGAAGCTTTCTGAGAAACTTGTTTTTGATGTGTGCATTCATCTCACAGAGTTGAACCTTTCTTTTGATAGAGCAGTTTGGAAACAGTTTTTTTGTGCAATCAGCAATGGGATATTTCAGATCCCTTTGAGGCCTGTCATGAAAAAGGGAATATCTTCACATAAAAACTGGACAGAAGCTTTCTGAGAAACTTCTTTGTGATGTGTGCATTCATCTCACATAGTTGAACCTTTCTTTTGATTGGACAGTTTGGAAACACTCTTTATCTGGAATCTGCAAAGGGATATTTCTGAGCAGTTTGAGTCCTATGGTGAAAAAGGAAATATCTTCACAGAAAAACTAGACAGAACTTTTCTGAGAAACTTCTTTGTGATGTGTGCATTCATCTTACTGAGTTGAAGGTTTCTTTTCATTGAGCAGTTTGGAAACAGTCTTTTTCTAGAATCTGCAAAGTGATATTTCTAAACAGTTTGTGCCTATGGTGAACAAGGAAATATCTTCACATAAAAATTACACAGAAGCTTTCTGAGAAACTTCTTTGTGATTTCTTCATTCATCCCACAGGGTTGAATCTTTCTTTTGATTATGCAGTTTGGAAACAGTATTTTTCTAGAATCTGCTAAGGGATATTTCTGAGCGATTTGAGGCCTATGGTGAAAATGAAATATTTTCAGATAAAACGTAGACAGAAGCTTTCTGCGAAACTTATTTGTGATGTGTGCATGGATCTCACAAAGTTGAAGCTTTATTTTGATTGAGCAGTTTGGAAATAGTCTTTTCTAGTGTCTGCAAAGGGATATTTCAGAGCCCTTTTGAGACCTATGGTGAAAAAGAAATATCTTCACATAAAAGCTAGACAGAAGCTTTTTCAGAAAATTTTTTGTGATGTGTGCATTCATCTCACAGATTTGAACATTTCTTTTGATTGAGCATTTTGAACAGTCTTTTGTAGAATCTGCAAAGGGATGTTTGGAGCGGTTTGCAGCCTCTAGTGGAAAAGGAAATATCTTCACATAAAAACTAGACAGAACCATTCTGAGAAGCATCTTTATGATGTGTGCATTCATCTCACAGAGTTGAAGCTGTCTTTTTTTTGAGCAGTTTGGAAACACTCTTTTTCTGGATCTACAAAGATATATTTCTAAGCAGTGCATGTCCTATGGTGAAAAAGGAAATATCTTCACATAAAAACTAGAGAGAAGCTTTCTGGGAAACTTCTTAACGATGTGTGCATTCATCTCACAGATTTGAGTCTTTCTATTGATTGAGCAGTTTGGAAACAGTCTTTTTGTAGAATCTGCAAAGGGATATTTGGGGTCCTTTAAGGCATAGGGTGAAAAAGGTCTTCACATAAAAACTGGAAAGAAGCTTTCTGAGAAACTTCTTTTTGATGTGTGAATTCAACTCACAGACTTGAAATTTCTTTTGATTGAGCAGTTTGGAAGCAGTCTTTTTGTAGAATCTGCAAAGGGATATTTGTGAGACCTTTGGGGCCTATGGTAACAAAGGAAATATGTTCACATAAAAACTAGACAGAAGCTTTCTGAAAAACTTCTTCATGTTGTGTGCTTTCAACTTACCGATTTGAAACTTTCTTTTGATGGAGCAGTTTGGAAACAGCGTTTTTCTAGAATCTGCAATGGGATATTTCTGAGTGGTTTGAGGCCCATGGTGAAAAAGGAAATATCTTCACCTAAAAACTAGTCAGAAGCTTTCTGAGATACTTCTTTGTGATGTATGCATTCTATAAACAGAGTTGAAACTTCCTTTTGATTGAGCAGTTTGGAAACAGTCTTTTTGTAGAATCTGCAGAGGGATATTTGGCATCCTTTTGAGGCCTATGGTGAAAATGGGGATATCTTCACATAAAAACTAGACAGAAGATTTCTGAGAAACTTTTGTGTGATGTGTGCATTCATCTCACAGAGTTCAACCTTTATTTTGATTGATCAGTTTGGAAACAGTGTTTCTGTAGAATCTGCAAAGGGATATTTCTTAGCTGTCTGGGGCCTATGGTGTAAAAGGAAACATCTTCACATAAAATCTCAACAGTAGGTTTCTGAGAAACTTCTTTTGTTATGTGCATTTATCTCACAGAGTTGAATCTTTCTTTTGATTTTGCAGTTTGAAAACAGTATTTTTCTATAATCTGCATAGGAATATTTCTGAGCGGTTTGAGGTCTACGGTGAAAAAATAAGCACCTTCACATAAAAGCTAGAGAGAAGCTTTCTGAGAAACTTCTCTGTGGTGTTTGCATTCAACACACAAAGTTGAACATTTATTTTGATTGAGCAGTTTTGAAACAGTCTTTTTAAAGAATCTGCAGAGGGATATTTGGGATCCCTTTGAGGCCTATGGTGAAAAAGGGAATATCTTCACATAAAAACTAGACAGAAACTTTCTGTGAAAATCCCTTGTGATGCGTGCACACGTCTCACACAGTTGAAACTTCCTTTGATTTAGGAGTATGGAAACAGTGTTTTTCTAGAATCTGCAAAGGGATATTTCTGAGCAGTTTGTGGCCTATGGTGAAAAAGGAAATATCTTCACATAAAAAGTAGAAAGAAGCTTTCTAAGAAACTTCTGTGTGATGTGTGCATTCATCTCACAGAGTTGAAACTTTCTTTTGTTGAGCAGTTTAGAAACAGTCTTTTTCTAGTATCTGCCAAGAGGCCTTTCTGAGTGGTTTGAGGTCAATGGTGAACAAGGAAATATCTTCACATAAAAACTAGACAGAAGCTTTCTGAGAAACTTCCTTATGATGTGTGCATTCATCTAATGAATTGAATCTTTCTTTTGATTGTGCAGTTTGGAAACATTATTTTTCTAGTATCTGGAAAGGGATATTTCTCAGTGGTTTGAGGCCTATGGTGAAAAAGGAACTACCTTCAAATAAAAGCTAGACAGAAGCTTTCTGAGAAGCTTCTTTGTGATGTTTGCATTCAACTCACAGTGTTGAACATTTGTTTTGATGGAGCAGTTTGGAAATGATCTTTTTCTAGAATCTGCAAATGGATATTTCTGAAAGGTTTGAGGCCTATGTTGAACAAGGAAACATCTTCACATAAAAACTAGACAGAAGCTTTCATCGAAACTTCTTTGTGATGTGTGCATTCAACTCACAGACTTGTATCTTTCAATTGTGTCATTTGGAAACAGTATTTTTCTAGAATCTGCAAGGGATATTTCTGAGCGGTTTGAGGCATGTGGTGAAAAAGAAAATACTTTCACAAAAAAACTAGACAGAATCTTTCTGAGAAACTTCTGTGTGATGTGTGCATTCAACTCACAGGGTTGAAACTTTCTTTTGTTTGCACAGTTTGGAAAAAGTATTTTTTATAGAATCTGCAATGGGATACTTCTGAGTGGTTTGAGGCCCATGGTGAAGAAGGATATATGTTCAAAAAAACTATACAGAAGCTTTCTGAGAAACTTCTTTGTGATGTGTGAATTCAACTCACAGATTGGAATCTTTCTTTTGATTGAGCAGTTTGGAAACAGTCTTTTTGTAGAATCTGCAAAGGGATACTTGGGATTCCTTTGAGACCTATGGTGAAAATGGAATATCTTCACATAAAAACTAGACAAAAGCATTCTGAGAAACTTATCTGTGATGTGTGCATTCATGTCACAGAGTTGAACCTTTCTTTTGATTGAGTAGTTTGGAAACAGTCTTTTTCTAGAATCTGCAAAGAGATTTTTCTAAGCTGTTTGAGGCCTATGGTGAACAAGGAAATATCTTCACATAAAAACTAGACAGAAGTTTTCTGAGAAACTGCTTTGTGATGTGTGCATTCATCTCAAAGCGTTGAATATTTCTTTTGATTGTGCAGTATGGAAACACTATTTTTCTAGAATCTGCAAAGGGATATTTCTGAGCGGTTTGAGGCCTATGGAAAAACAGGAAATATCTTCACATAAAACTGGACAGAAGCTTTCTGAGAAACTTCTGTGTGATGTGTGCATTCATCTCACAGATTTGAAAATTTCTTTTGATTGAGCAGTGTGGAAAAAGTCTTTTTGTAGAATCTGCAAAGGGATATTTGGGAACCATTAGAGGCCCACGGTGAAAAAGGAAATATCTTCACATAAAAACCAGACAGAAACTTTCTGAGAAACTTCTTTGTGATGCGTGCATTCAACTCACAGAGTTGAGGCTTTCTTTTCAATGAGCAATTTGGAAACATTTTTTCTGTAGAATCTGCAAGGGATATTTGTGAGCAGTTTGAGGCCTGTGGTGAAAAGGGAAATATCTTTACATAAAAACTAGACAGAAGCTTTCTGCAAAACTTGTTTATGATGTGTGCATTCATCTCATAGAGTTGAAGCTTTCTTTTGATTGACCTATTTGGAAACATTTTTTCTGTAGAATCTGCAAAGGGATATTTCTGAGCGGTATGAGGCCTGTGGTGAAAAGGGAAATATCTTTACATAAAAACTAGACAGAGGCTTTCTGGGAAACTTCCTTATGATGTGCACATTGACATCATGGAGTTAAGCCTTTCTTTTGATTGAGCAGTTTGGAAACAGTCTTTTTGTAGAATCTGCATAGGGATATGTGGGAAAGCTTTGTGGCCTATGGTGAGAATGAGATTATCTTCACATTAAAACTAGACAGAAGCTTTCTGGGAAACTTATTTGTGATGCGTGCATTCATCTCATAGAATTGAACCTTTCTTTTGATTGAGTAGTTTGGAGACAGTCTTTTTGTAGAATCTGCAAAGGGATATTCCTGAGCGGTTTGAGGCCTATGTTGAAAAAGGAAACATCTTCATATAAAACTAGACAGAAGCTTTCTGAGAAAAATATTTATGATGTGTGCATACATCTCACAGAGTTGAGCTTTTCTATTGATTCAGCAGTTTGGAAACAGTCTTTTTGTAGAATCTGCAGAGGGATGTTCAGGATCCCTTTAATGACAACTTTGAAAAAGGGAATATCTTCACATAAAAAGTAGACAGTAGCTTTCAGAGAAACTTCTTTGTGATACGTGCATTCTACCCACAGACTTGAGATTTTCTTTTGATTGGGCAGTTTGGAAACAGTCTTTGTGTAGAATCTTCAAAGGGATATTTAGGGGCCCCTTGAGGCCTATGGTGAAAAAGGGAATATATTCACCAAAAAACTAGGAAGAAGATTTCTCAGAAAATTATTTGTGTTGTGTACATTCATCTCACAGAGTTGAAAGTTTCTTTTGATTGAGCAGTTTGGAAACCGTCTTTGCGTAGAATCTGTAAAGGGATATTTGTGAGCATTTTGAGGCCTATGGTGAGAAAGGAAATATCTTCACATAAAAACTAGACACAAGCTTTCTGAGAAACTCCTTTGTGATGTGTGCATTCAGCTCACAGAATTGAACCTTTCTTTTCATTGAGCAGTTTGGAAACGGTCTTTTTCTAGAATCTGCAAAGGGATATTCCTGAGCGGTTTGAGGCCTATGTTGAAAAAGGAAACATCTTCATATAAAACTAGACAGAAGCTTTCTGAGAAAAATATTTATGATGTGTGCATACATCTCACAGAGTTGAGCCTTTCTATTGATTCAGCAGTTTGGAAACAGTCTTTTTGTAGAATCTGCAGAGGGATGTTCAGGATCCCTTTAATGACAACTTTGAAAAAGGGAATATCTTCACATAAAAAGTAGACAGTAGCTTTCAGAGAAACTTCTTTGTGATACGTGCATTAAACTCACAGAATTGAGTTTTATTTTGATTGAGCAGTTTGGAAACAGTCTTTTTGTAGCATCTGCAAGGGGATATATCAGGGCCCTTTGAGTCCTATGGTCAAAAAGGGAATATGTTCACCAAAAAACTAGTAAGAAGATTTCTCAGAAAATTCTTTGAGATGTGTGCACTCATCTCACAGAGTTGAAAGTTTCTTTTGATTGAGCAATTTGGAAACCATCTTTGTGAGGAATCTGCAAAGGGATATTTGTGAGCATTTTGAGGCCTTTGGTGAAAAAGGAAACATGTTCACATAAAAAGTAGACACAAGCTTTCTGAGAAACTTCTTTGTGTTGTGTGCATTCATCCAACAGAGTTGAATCTTTCTTTTGATGGAGCAATTTGGAAACAGTCTTTCTGTGGAATCTGCAAAGGGATACTTCTGAGCTGTTTGAGTCCTATGGTGAAAAAGGAAATATCTTCACATAAAAACTAGACAGAAGTTTTCTGAGAAACTTCTTTGTGATGTGTGGATGCAACTCACAGAGTTGAACCTTTGTTTTGATTGAGCAGTTTGGAAACAGTCATTTTCTAGAATCTGCAAAGTGATATTTCTGAGAGGTTTGAGGCCTAAGATGAAAAAGGAAATATCTTCATATAGAAACTAGACAGAATCTTTCCCAGAAATTTCTTTGTGATGTGGGCATTCATCTCACATAGTTGAAGATTTCTTTTGATTGAGCAGTTTGGAAACAGTCTTTTTGTAGAATCTGCAAAGGGATATTTGGGAGCCCTTTGAGGCCTACGGTGAAAAATGAAATATCTTACATAAAAACCAGAAAGAAGCTTTCTCAGAAAATTAATTTTGATGGGTGCATTCATCTCACAGAGTTTAACCTTTCTTTTGATTGAGCAGTTCAGAAACAGTCTTTTTGTAGAATCTGCAAAGGGATATTTCTGAGTGGCTTGGGGACTATGGTGAAAAAGGAAATATCTTCACATAAAAACCAGACAGAAAATTTCTGAGAAACTTATTTGTGATGTGTGCATTCATCTCACATTGTTGAAGCTTTCTTTTGATTGAGCAGTTTGCAAAGTCTTTCTCTATTATCTGCAAAGACATATTTCTGAGCAGTTTGATGTCAATGGTGAACAAAGAAATATCTTCACATAAAAACTAGACAGAAGCTTTCTGAGAAACTTCTCTGTGATGTGTGCATTCACCTCACAGAGGTGAATCTTTCTTTTTATTGTGCAGTTTGGAAGCAATATTTTTCTAGAATCTGAAAAAGGATATTTCTGAGCCCTTTAGGCCCATGGTGAAAAAGGAATTATCTTCACATAAAAACTAAACAGAAGTTTCTGAGGAACTTCTTTTTTATGTTTGCATTCAACTCACAGAGTTGAATATTTCTTTTGATTGAGCAGTTTGGAAAAAGTCTTTTTAAAGAATCTGAAAAGGGATATTTGGGATCCCTTTGATGTCTATGGTGAAAAAGGGAATATCTTCACATAAAATCGAGACAGAAAGTTTCTGAAAAACTTATTTGTGATGTGTGCATTCATTTCACGGAGTTGAAACTTTCTTTTGATTGAGCAGTTTGGAAACAGTCTCTTTCTAGAATCTGCAAAGGGATATGTCTGAGTGGCCTGAGGCCTATAGTGTAAAACGAAATACCTTCACATAAAACTATAGAGAAGCTTTCTGAGAAAGTTATTTGTGATGTGTGCATTCATGTCATAGAGTTGAACCTTTCTTTTGATTGAGCAGTTTGGAAACAGTCTTTTTCTAGATTCTGCAAATGGATATTTGGAAGCAATATTTTTCTAGAATCTGAAAAAGGATATTTCTGAGCCCTTTAGGCCCATGGTGAAAAAGGAAATATCTTCACATAAAAACTAGACAGAAGCTTTCTGAGAAACTTCTTTGTGATGTGTGCATTCATCTCACAGAGTTGAACACTTCTTTTGATTGAATAATTTGGAAACAGCTTTTTTGTGGGATCTGCAAAGGAATATTCAGGGGCCCTTTCAGGCCTATGGTTAAAAAGAAAATATGTTCACCAAAAAACTAGCAAGAAGTTTTCTCAGAAAATTCTTTGTGATCTGTGCATTCATCTCACAGAGTTGAACATTTCTTTTGATTGAGCAATTGGAAACAGTCTTCTTGTAGAGTCTGTAAAGGGATATTTCGGAGTGGTTTGAGTACTACGGTGAAAAGTGAAATATCTTCACATAAAAACTAGACAGAAGCTTTCTGAGAAACTTCTTTGTGATGTGTGCATTCATATCACAGGGTTGAAGCTTTCTTTTGATTGAGCAATTTGGAAACATTTTTTTCTGTAGAATCTACAAAGGGATATTTCTGAGTGGTTTGAGGAATGTGGTGAGAAGGGAAATATCTTCACATAAAAACTAGAGAGAGGCTTTCTGAGAAACTTCTTTATGAAGTGCCCATTCGAATCACAGACTTAAATCTTTCTTTTGATTGAGCTGTTTGGAAAGAGTCTTTTTGTAGAATCTGCAAAGGGATATTTGGGACTTGTTTGTGGCCTATGTTGAAAAAGGGAATATCTTCACAGAAAAACTAGACGGAAGCTTTATGACAAACTTCTTTGTGATGTGCACATTCATCTCAGAGAGTTGAACCTTTCTTTTGATTGAGCAGTTTGTAAACAGTCTTTTTCTAGAATCTGCCAAGGGATATTTCTGAGTGCTTTGACACATGGTGTAAAAGGAAATATCTTCATATAAAAACTAGACAGGAGCTTTCTGAGAAACTTCTTTGTGATGTGTGCACTCATCTCACAGATTTGAACCTTTATTTTGATTGAGCAGTTTGGAAACAGTTTTTTTGTAGAATCTGCAAAGAATATTTAGGAGCTATTTGAGGCCTATAGTAAAAAAGGAAATTTATTCACAAAAAAAACTAGTAAGAAGCTTTCTCAGAAAATTCCTTGTGATGTGTGCATTCATCTCACAGAGTTGAAGATTTCTTTTGATTGAGCAACTTGGAAACAGTCTTCCTGTATAATCTGCAAAGGGATATTTCAGAGCGGTTTGAGACCTGTGGTGAAAAAGGAAATATCTTCACATAAAAACTAGACAGATGCTATCTGAGACACTTCTTTGTGATGTGTGCATTCAACTCACTCTGTTGAACCTTCTTTTGATTGAGCAGTTTGGACACAGTCTTTTTGCTGAATCTGCAAATGGATATTTGGGATCTCTTTAGGCCTAAGGTGAAAAAGGGAATATCCTCACATAAAACTAGACAAGAGCTTTCTGAGGAACTTATTTGTGATGTGTGGTTTCATCTCACATAGCTGAACATTTCTTGTGACTGAGCAGTTTGGAAACAGTCCTTTTGTATAATCTGCAAAGGGATATTTCTGAGTGGTTTGAGGCCTATGGTGAAAAAAGTTATATCTTCATATAAAAAATATACAGCAGCTTTCTGAGAAACTTCTTTATGTTCTGTGTAATCATCTCACAGAGTTGAACTTTTCTTTTGATTGAGCAGTTTGGAAACAGTCTTTTAGTGGTATACGCAAAGGGATATTTGGGAGCCCCTTAAGGCCTATGGGGAAAAAAAGAGATTTCTTCATATAAAAACTAGACCGAAGGTTTCCGAGAAACTTCATTATGATGTGTGCATTCATCTCACAGAGTTGAAACTTTCTTTTGATTGAGCAGTATGGAAACAGTCTTTTATAGAATCTGCAAATGGATATTTGGGATCCCTTTGAGGTCTATGGTGAAAAAGGAAATATCTTCACATGAAAACTAGACAGAAGCTTTCTTAGAAGCTTCTTTGTGATGTGTGCATTCATCTTACAGAGTTGAACCTTTCTTTTGATTGAGCAGTTTTGAAACAGTCTTTTTGTAGAATCTACAAAGTGACATTTTGAACCCGTTGTCCATAAGGAAATATCTTCACATAACAACTAGAAAGAAGCTTCCTCAGAAAATAATTAGTAATGGGTGCATTCATCTCACAGAGTTGAACATTTCTTTTGATTGAGCAGTTTGGAAACGTCTTTTTGAAGAATCTGAAAGGGGATATTTCTGAGCAGTTTGAGGCCTATGGTGAAAAGAATATATCGTCAAGTAAAAACTAGACAGAAACTTTCCGAGAAACTTCGTTGTGATGTGTGCATTCATCTCACATAGATGAAGCTTTCTTTTGATTGAGCAGTTTGGACACAGTCTTTTTCTAGAATCTGCAAGGGGATATTTTGTATCTCTTTGAGGCTTATGGTTAAAAAGGGAATATCTTCACATAAAAACTACAGAGAAACTTTCTCAGAAACTTCTTTGGGATGTGTTCATTCATCTCACAGAGTTGAAGCTTTCTTTTGATTGAGCAGTTTGGATACAGTCTATTTGTAGAATCTGCAAAGGGATATTTCTGAGTGGCCTGAGGCCTGTGGTGTAACAGGAAATATTTTCCCATAAAACTAGACAGAAGCTTTCTGTGAAATTTCTTTTTGATGTGTGCATTCATGTCATATAGTTGAACTTTTCTTTTGATTGAGCAGTTTGAAAACAGTCTTTTTCTAGAATCTGCAAATGGATATTTCTGAGCGGTCTGAGGCCTATTGTGAAAAAGGAAATATCTTCACATAAAAACTAGACAGAAGCTTCCTGAGAAACTTCTTTGTGATGAGTGCATTCATCACACAGAGTTGAACCTTTCTTTTTATTGAGTAGTTTGGAAACAGTCTTTTTGTGGAACCTGCATAGGGATATTTAGGGGGCCTTTGAGGCCTGTGGTGAAAAAGGAAATATATTCACAAAAAATTAGCAAGAATTTTTCTCAGAAAATTCTTTGTGATCTGAGCAATCATCTCACAGAGGTGAATATTTTTTTGATTGAGCAGTTTGGAAAGAGTCTTTGTGTAGAATCTGCAAAAGGGATGTTTCTGAGCGTTTTGAGACCTATGGTGAAAAAGGGATTATCTTCACATAAAAACTAGACAGAAGCTTTCTGAGAAACATCTATATGATGTGTGCTTTCATCTCACAGAGTCGAACCTTTCTATTGATTAAGCAGTTTGGAAACAGTCTTTTTGTAGAATCTGCAGAAGGATAGTTGGGATCACTTTAAGGACTACTTTGAAAAAGAGAATAGCTTCACATAAAAACTAGACAAAAGCTTTCAGAGAAACTTCTTTTTGTTATGGACATTCAAATCACAGACTTGAGCACTTCTTTTGATTGTGCAGCTTGGAAACAGTCTTTTTGTAGAATCTGCAAAGGGATATTTAGGGGCCCTTTGAGGCCTGTGGTCAAAAAGGGAATATATTCACCAAAAAACTAGTAAGAAAATTTCTCAGAATATTCTTTGAGATACGTGCATTCATCTTACAGAGTTGAAAGTTGTTTCTTTTGGTGGAGCAGTTTGGAAACCACCTTTGTGTAGAATCAGCAGAGGGATATTTTTGAGCGTTTTGAGGCCTATGGTGAAAAAAGAAATATGTTCACATAAAAACCAGACACAAACTCTCTGAGAAACTTATTTGTGGTATGTGCATTCATCTCACAGAGTTGAGCCTTTCCTTTGATTGAGCAGTTTGGAAACAGTCTCTTTCTAGAATCTGCAAAGGGATATTTCTGAGTGGTTTGAGGCCTAAGATGAAAAAGGAAATATCTTCATATAGAAACTAGACAGAATCTTTCTCAGAAAATTCTTTGTGATGTGGGCATTCATCTCACAGAGTTGAAGTTTTCTTTTGATTGAGCAGTTTGGAAACAGTCTTCTTGTAGAGTCTGCAAAGGGATATTTCTGAGCGGTTTGAGGCCTATGGTGAAAAGGAAATATCTTCACGTTAAAACTAGACAGAAGCTTTCTGAGAAACATCTTTGTTATGTGTGCATTCTTCTCACAGAGTTGAAACTTTCTTTTGATTGAGCAGTTTGGATATAGTCTTTTTCTAGTATCTGCCAAAGGGATATTTCTGAGTGGTTTGAGGCTTGTGGTGAAAAAGGAAATATCTTCATATTAAAACTAGACAGAAGTTTTCTGAGAAACTTCTTTGTTTTGTGTGCATTCTTCTCACAGAGTTGAACCTTACTTTTGATTGAGCAGTTTGCAAACAGTCTTTCTCTACTATCTGCAAAGGGATATTTCTGAGCGGTTTGGGACCAATGATGAAAAAGGAAATATCTTCACATAAAAACTAGAGAGAAACTTAATGAGAACCTTCTTTATGATGTGTGCATTCAACCCACAAATTCGAACCTTTCTTTTGATTGAGCTGTTTGGAATAGTCTTTTTATAGAATCTGCATATGGATATTTCGGATCCCTTTGAGGGCTATGGTGAAAAAAGGAATATCTTCAAGTAAAAACTAGACACACGCTTTCTGAGAAACTTCTTTGTGATATGTGCATTCATCTCACACAGATGAACCTTTCTTTTGATTGAGCTGTTTGGAAGCAGTCTTTTTTTACATCAGCAAAGGGATGTTTCTGAGCGTTTTGAGACCTATGGTGAAAAAGGAAATATCTTCCTATAAAACTGGATAGAAGTTTTCTGAGAAACTTCTTTATGATGTTTGCATTCATCTCATAGAGTTGAACTTTTCCTTTGATTGAGTAGTTTGGAAACCGTTTTTCTGCAGAATCTGCAAAGGGATATTTGGGAGCCCTTTGAGGCCTATGTTGAAAAGGGATATATCTTCACATAGAAACTAGACAGATGCTTTCTCAGGAAATTCTTTGTGATGTGTGCATTCATCTCACAGAGTTGAACCTTTCTTTTGATTGAGTAGTTTCAAAACAGTCTTTTAGTAGAATCTGCAAAGGGATATTTCTGAGCGGTTTTGAGGACTATGGTGAAAAATGAAATATTTTCACATAAAAACTAGACAGAAGTTTTCTGAGAGACTTCTTTGTGATGTGTGCATTCGTCTTTCAGAGATCAAACTTTCTTTTGATGGAGCAGTTCGGAAACGATCTTTTTCCAGAATCTGCAAAGGAATGTTCCCAAGCGATATGAGGCCCATGGTGAACAGGGAAATATCCTCACATAAAAACTAGATGGAAGCTTTCTGAGAAACTTCTTTGTGATGTGTGCATTCATCTCACAGTGTTGAACCTTTCTTTTCATTGTGCAGCTTGGATACAGTCTTTTTCAAGCATATGCAAAGGGATATTTCTGAGCAGTTTGAAGCCCATGGTGAAAAAGGAAACATCTTCACATAAAAACTAGACGGAAGGTTTCTGAGAAACTTCCTTGTGCTGTTTGTGTTCAACTCCCAGAGTTGAACTTTCTTTTGATTGAGCAATTTGGAAACAGTCTTTTTATACAATCTGCAAAGGGATATTTGAGATCTCTTTGAGGCCTATGGTGAAAAAGGGAATATCTTCATATAAAAAAAAGACACAAGCTTTCTGAGAAAATTCTTTGTGATGTGTGCATTCATCTCACATACCTGAAGCTTTGTTTTGATTGAGCAGTTTGGATACAATTTTTTATAGAATCTGTCAGGGGATATTTCTGAGCGGTTTGAGGCCTATAGTGTAAAAGGAAGTATCTACACATAAAAACCAAACAGAATTTTTGTGAGAAACTTCTTTGTGATGTGTGCATTCAACTCACAGAGTTGAACTTTTCTTTTGATTTAACAGTTTGGAAACAGTCTTTCTGTAGAATCTGCAAAGGGATATTTGGGATCCTTTTGATGCCTATGTCAGAAAAGGAAATATCATCACGTAAAAACTAGACAGAAGATTTCTCAGAAACTTCTTTGTGATGTGTGCACTCAACTCTGAGGAACTTCTTTGTGATGTGCGCATTCATCTCACAGAGTTGAAACTTTCTTTTGATTGAGCAGATTGGAAACAGTCTTTTTCTAGAATCTGCAAAGTGGTATTACTGAATGGTTTGAGGCCTATGGTGTGCAAATAAATATCATCACATAAAATCTAGACAGAAGCTTTCTGAGAAACTTCTTTGTGATGTATGCATTCATCTCACAGAGTTGAACGTTTCTTTTCATTGTGCAGTTTGGAAAGTCTTTTTCTTGAATCTGCAAAGGGATATTTCAGAGCTGTTTGAGGACTGTGGTTAAAAAGGAAATACTTCACTTAAAAACTAGACAGAAGAATTCTCAGAAACTTCTTTGTGATTTTTGCATTCAACTCACAGAGTTCAAACTTTCTTTTGATTGAGCAGTTTGGAAACAGTCTATTTGTAGAATATGGAAAGGGACATTTCTGAGTGGTTTGAGGCCAATGATGCAAAAGGAAATATCGTCAAATAAAAACCAGACAGAAGCTTTCTGAGAAACTTCATTGGAATATGTGCATTCATCTCACAGAGTTGAACCTTTCTTTTGATTGAACAGTTTTGAAACACTCTTTTTGAGGAATATGCAAGGGGATATTTGGAGTGCTTTGAGGCCTATGTGGAAAAGGAAATATCTTCGTTTAAAAAGTAGACAGGGAGTTGGAGCCAAGAGGGCTGTGTAGGAACAACTCTAGTCTAAGCTCCCATCATGAGTGATGCAGAAGATGGGAGATTTCTGAATTTCCATCTGAGGTATCACGTTCATCTCACTAGGGAGTGCCAGACAGTGGGTACAGGACAGTGGTTGCAGCTTAACTTGGTGAGCTGAAGCAGGGCAAGGCATTGCCTCATTCGGGAAGCACAAGGGGTCAAGGTGTTCCCTTTCCTAGTCAAAGAAAGGGTTGACAGACTGCACCTGAGAATTGGGTCACTGCCCTTAAAAAACGGCACACCAGGAAGTTATATCCCACACCTGGCTCAGAGGGTCCTATACCCACGGAGTCTCACTGGTTGCTAGCACAGCAGTCAGATCAAACTGCAAGTGACAGCGAGGCTTAGGGAAGGGCGCCTGTCATTGCCCACACTTAATTAGGTAAATAAAGCAGCCGGGAAGCTCGAACAGGGTGGAGCCCACCACAGCTCAAGAAGGCCTTCCTGCCTCTGTAGGCTCCACCTTTGGGGGCAGGGCACAGACAAACAAAAAGACTGCAGAAACCTCTGCAGTCTTAAATGTCCCTGTCTGACAGCTTTTAAGGGAATAGTGGTTCTCTCAGCATGCAGCTGGATATCTGAGAACAGGCAGATGGCCTCCTCAAGCTGGTCCCTGAACCCCAAGCAGCCTAACTGGGAGGTACACCCAAGTAGGGGCAGACTGACACCTCACACAGCTGGGTACTCCTCTGAGACAAAATATCCAGAGGAATGATCAGGCAACAGCATTTGCAGTTCACCAATATCCGCTGTTTTACTGCCACTGCTGCTGATACCCATTCAAACAGGGTCTGGAGTGGACCTCTAGCAAACTCCAACAGACCTGCAGCTGAGGGTCCTGTCTGTTAGGAGGAAAACTAACAAACAGAAAGGACATCGACCCCAAAAACCCATCTGTACGTCACCATAATCAAATACCAAAAGTAGATAAAACCACAAAGATGGGGAAAAAACAGAGTAGAAAAACTGGAACCTCTAAAAAGCAGAGTGCCTCTCCTCCTCCAAAGGGACACAGCTCCTCACAAGCAACAAAACAAAGATGGACAGAGAATGACTTTGACAAGTTGAAAGAAGAAGGCTTCAGATGATCAAACCACTCTGAGCTACAGGAAGAAATTCAAACCAACGGCAAAGAAGTTAAAAACTTTGAAAAAAATTAGATGAATGGATACCTAGAATAGCCAATGCAGAGAAGTCCTTAAAGGAGCTAATGGAGCTGAAAGCCAAGGCTCAAGAACTACCTGAAGAATGCAGAATCCTCAGGAGCTGATGTAATCAACTGGAAGAAAGGGTATCAGTGATGGAAGACGAAATGAATGAAATGAAGCAAGAAGGGAAGTTTAGAGAAAAAATAATAAAAATAAATGAACAAAGCCTCCAAGATATATGGGACTATGTGAAAAGGCCAAATCTACATCTCATTGGTGTACCTGAAAGTGATGGGGAGAATGGAACCAAGTTGGAAAACACTCTGCAGGATATTATCCAGGAGAACTTCCCTATCTAGCAAGGCAGGCCAACATTCAGATTCAGGAAATACAGAGAACACCACAAAGATATTCATTGAGAAGAGCAACTCCAAGACACATAATTGTCAGATTCACCAAAGTTGAAATGAAGGAAAAAATGTTAAGGGCAGCCAGAGAGAAAGGTCGGGTTACCCTTAAAGGGAAGCCCATCAGACTAACAGTGGATCTCTCAGCAGAAACTCTACAAGCCTGAAGAGAGTGGGGACTAATATTCAACATTCTTAAAGAAAAGAATTTTCAACCCAGAATTTCATAACCAGCCAAACTAAGCTTCGTAAGTGAAGGAGAAATAAAGTACTTTACAGACAAGCAAATGCTGAGAGATTTTGTCACCACCAGGCCAGCCCTAAAAGAGCTCCTGAAGGAAGCACTAAAGATGGAAAGGAACAACCGGGACCAGCCACAGCAAAAACATGCCAAAATGTAAAGACCATCAAGGCTAGGAAGAAACTGCATCAACTAACGAGCAAAATAACCAGCTAACATCATAATGATAGGAACAAATTCACACATAACAATATTACCTTTAAAAGTAAATGGGCTAAATGCTCCAATTAAAAGACACAGAATGGGAAATTTGATAAAGAGTCAAGACCCATCAGTGTGATGTATTCAGGAAACCCATCTCACATGCAGAGACACACATAGGCTCAAAATAAAGGGATGGAGGAAGATCTACCAAGCAAATGGAAAACAATAAAAGGAAGGGGTTGCAATCCTAGTCTCTGATAAAACAGACTTTAAACCAACAAAGATCAAAAGAGACAAAAAGGCCATTACATAATGGTAAAGGGATCAATTCAACAAGAAGAGCTAACTATCCTAAATATATATGCACCCAATACAGGAGCAGCCAGATTCATAAAGCACATCCTTAGTGACTTAAAAAGAGACTTAGACTGCCACACAATAATATTGGGAGACTTTAACAACCCACTGTCAACATTAGACAGATCAACGAGACAGAAAGTTAACAAAGATATCCAGGAATTGAACTCAGCTCTGCATCAAGCCTACCTAATAGACATCTACAGAACTCTCCACCCCAAATCAACAGAATATACATTGTTTTCAGCAGCACACCACGCCTATTCCAAAGTTGACCACATAGTTAGAAGTAAAGCACTCCTCAGCAAATGTAAAAGCACAGAAATTATAACAACCTGTCTCTCAGACCACAGTGCAATCAAACTAGAACCCAGGATTAAGAAACTGACCCAAAACCGCTCAACTACATGGAAACTGAACAACCTGCTCCTGAATGACTACTCGGTACATAACGAAATGAAGGCAGAAATAAAGATGTTCTTTGAAACTAACGAGAACAAAGACAGAACATACCAGAATCTCTGGGACACATTCAAAGCAGTGTGTAGAGGGAAATTTATAGCACTAAATGCCCATAAGAGAAAGCAGGAAAGATCCAAACTTGACACCATAACATCACAATTAAAACAACTAGAAAAACAAGAGCAAACACATTCAAAAGCTAGCAGAAGGCAAGAAATAACTAAGATCAGAGCAGAACTGAAGGAGAGACACAAAAAACCCTTCAAAAAATCAATGAATGCAGGAGCTGGTTTCTTGAAAAGATCAACAAAATTGATAGACTATTAGCAAGACTAATGAAGAAGAAAGGAGAGAAGAATCAAATAGACACAATAATAAATGATAAACGGGATATCACCACCGATCCCACAGAAATACAAACTACCATCAGAGAATACTATAAACACCTCTATGCAAATAAACTAGAAAATCTAGAAGAAATGGATAAATTCCTCGACACATACACCCTCCCAAGACTAAACCAGGAAGACGTTGAATCTCTAGATAGACCAATAACAGACTCTGAAATTGTGGAAATAATCAGTAGCTTACCAACCAAAAAAGTCCAGGACCAGATGGATTTACAGCCGAATTCTACCAGAGGCACAAGGAGGAAATGGTACCATTCCTTCTGAAACTATTCCAATCAATAGAAAAAGAGGTAATCCTCCCTAACTCATTTCGTGAGGTCAGCATCATCCTGATACCAAAGTGTGGCGGAGACACAACCAAAAAAGAGAATTTTAGACCAATATCCTTGATGAATATTGATGAAAAATCTTCAACAAAATACTGGCAAACAACATCCAACAGCACATCAAAAATCTTATCCACCATGATCAAGTGGGCTTCATCCATGGGATGCAAGGCTGGTTCAACATATGCCAATCAATAACTGTAATCCAGCATATAAAAAGAACCAAAGACAAAAACCGAATAATTATCTCAATAGATGCAGAAAAGGCCTTTGACAAAATTCAACAATGCTTCCTGCTAAAAACTCTCAATAAATTAGGTACTGATGGGACGTATCTCAAAATATTAAGAGCTATCTATGACAAACCCACAGACAATATCGTACTGAATGGGCAAAAACTGGAAGCATTCCCGTTGAAAACTGGGACAAGACAAGGATGCCCTCTCTCACCACTCCTATTCAACATAGTGCTGGAAGTTCTGGCCAGGGCAATTAGGCAGGAGAAAGAAATAAAGGGTATTCAATTAGGAAAAGAGGAAGTCAAATTGTCCCTGTTTGCAGATGACATGATTATATATCTAGAAAACCCCACTGTCTCAGCCCAAAATCTCCTTAAGCTGATAAGCAACTTCAGCAAATCTCAGGATACAAAATCAATGTGCAAAAATCACAAGCATTCTTATACACCAATAACAGACAGAGAGACAAATCATTAGTGAAATCCCATTCACAATTTCTTCAAAGAGACTAAAATACCTGGGAATCCAAATTACAAGGGATGTGAAGGACCTCTTCAAGGAGAACTACAAACCACTGCTCAAAGAAATAAAAGAGGACACAAACAAATGGAAGAACATTCCATGCTCATGGGTAGGAAGAATGATTATCAAGAAAATGGCCATACTGCCCAAGGTATTTTATAAATTCAATGCCATCCCCATCAAGCTACCAATGACTTTCTTCACAGAATTGGAAAAAAGTACATTAAAGTTCATATGGAACCAAAAAGGAGCCTGCATCACCAAGTTAAACCTAAGCCAAAAAAACAAAGCCGGAGGCATCATGCTACCTGACTTCAAACTATACTACAAGGCTACAGTAACCAAAAAGCATAGTACTGGTACCAAAACTGAGATATAGATTAGTGTAACAGAACAGAGCCCTCAGAAATAATGCCGCATATCTACAACTGTCTGGTCTTTGCAAACCTGACAAAAACAAAATATGGGGAAAGGATTCCCTATTTAATAAGTGGTGCTGGGAAAACTGGCTAGCCATATGTTGAAAGCTGAAACTGGATCCCTTCTTTACACCTGATACAAAAATTAATTCAAGATGGATTAAAGACTTACATGTTAGACCTAAAACCATCAAAACCCTAGAAGAAAACCTAGGCATTACCATTCAGGACATAGGCATGGGCATGGACTTCATATCTAAAACACCAAAAGCAATGGCAACAAAAGCCAAAATTGACAAATGGGATCTAATTAAACTAAAGAGCTTCTGCACAGCAAAAGAAACTACCATCAGAGTGAGCAGGCAACCTACAAAATGGGAGAAAATTTTCTCAACCTACTCATCTGACAAAGGGCTAATATCCAGAATCTACAATGAATTCAAACAAATTTACAACAAAAAAGCAAACAACCCCATCAAAAAGTGGGGGAAGGATCTGAAAAGACACTTCTCAAAATAAGACATTTATGCAGCCAAAAAACACATGAAAAAATGCTCATCATCACTAGCCATCAAAGAAATGCAAATCAAAACCACAATGAGATACCATCTCATATCAGTTAGAATGGCCATCATTAAAATGCAGGAAACAACATGTGCTGGAGAGGATGTGGAGAAATAGGAATACTTTTACACTGTTTGTGGGACTGTAAACTAGTTCACCTATTGTGAAAGTCAGTGTGGCGATTCCTCAGGGATCTAGAACTAGAAATACCATTTGACCCAGCCATCCCACTACTTGGAATATACCCAAAGGATTATAAATCATGCTGCTAGAAAGACACATGCACACATCTGTTTATTGCAGCACTATTCACAATAGCAAAGACTTGGAACCAACCCAAATGTCCAACAATGATAGACTGGATTAAGAAAATGTGGCATATATATACCATGGAATACTATGCAACTGTAAAAAATGATGAGTTCATGTCCTTTGCACAGACATGGATGAAACTGGAAACCATCATACTCAGCAAACTATGGCAAGGACAAAAAACCAAACACCACATGTTCTCACTCATAGGTGGGAATTGAACAATGAGAACACCTGGACACAGGAATGGGAACATCACACTCTGGGGACTGTTGTGGGGCTGGGGGAATGGGGAGGGATAGCATTTGGAGACATACCTAATTCTAAATGACGAGTTAATGGGTGCAGCACACAAACATGGCACATGTATACATATGTAACAAACGTTCACATTGAGCACATGTACCCTAAAACTTAAAGTATAATAATAAAAAAAAACTAGACAGAAGATTTCTGAGAAATTTCTTTATGACGAGTGCATTCATCTCACAGGGTTGAATCTTTCCATTGATTGAGCAGTTTGGAACCAGTCTTTTTGTAGAATGTGTGAAGGGATAATTGGGATCCCTTTAAGGCGTAGGGTGAAAAAAGGAATATATTCACATAAAAACGAGACAGAAGCTTTCTGCAGAAACTTCTTTTTGATGTGTGCATTCAACTCACAGACTTGAACTTTTCTTTTGATTGAGCAGTTTGGGAACAGTCTTTCTGTAGAATCTGCAAAGGGATATTTTGGAGCCATTTGAGGCCTATGCTGGAAAAGGAAATATCTTCACATAAAAATCAGACAGGTATATTCTGAGAAAGTTCTTTGTGATGTTTGCATTCATCTCACAGAGTTGAAACTTTCTGTGATTGAGCAGTTTGGAAACAGTCTTTTTCTAGAATCTGCAAAGGGATATTTGGGATCCCTTTGTGGCCCATGGTGGAAAAGGGAATATCTTCACATATAAAAGAGACAGAAGCTTTCTGAGAAACTTCTTTGTGATGTGTGAATTCATCTCATAGAGTTGAAACTTTTTTTGATTGAGCAGTTTGGAAACAGTCTCTTTCTAGAATCTGAAAAGGGATATTCCTGAGTGGCTAGAAGCATATTGTGTAAAGGAAAATATCTTCACATCAAAACTAGACAGAAGCTTTCTGAGTAATTTCCTCGTGATGTGTGCATTCATGTCACAGAGTTGAAACTTAGTTTTGATTGAGCAGTTTGGAAACAGTCGTTTTATAGAATCTGCAAATGGATATTTCTGAGTGGTTTGAGGCCTATGGTGAAAAAGGAAAAGTCTTCACATAAAAACAAGACAGAATCTTTCTCAGAAAATTCTTTGTGATGTGTCCATTCATCTCACAGAGTTGAACATTTCTTTTGATTGAGAAGATTAGAAACAGTCTTTTTGTAGAATCTGCAAAGCAATATTTCTGAGCAGTTTGAGGCCTATGGTGAAAAAGGAAATATCTTCACATAAAAACAAGACAGAAGCTTTCTCAGAAAATTCTTTGTGATGTGTCCATTCATCTCACAGAGTTGAACATTTCTTTTGATTGAGAAGATTGGAAACAGTCTTTTTGTAGAATCTGCAAAGCAATATTTCTGAGCAGTTTGAGGCCTATGGTGAAAAAGGAAATATCTTCACATAAAAACAAGACAGAAGCTTTCTCAGAAAATTCTTTGTGATGTGTTCATTCATCTCACAGAGTTGAAGCTTTCTTTTGATTGAGCATTTTGGAGACAGTCTTTTTGTAGAATCTGCAAGGGGATATCCCTTTGAGGCCTATGGTGAAAAGGGGAATATCTTCACAGCAAAACTAGACAGAAGCTTTCTGAGTAAGTTCTTCGTGATGTGTGCATTCATGTCACAGAGTTGAAACTTAGTTTTGATTGAGCAGTTTGGAAACAGTCGTTTTATAGAATCTGCAAATGGATATTTCTGAGTGGTTTGAGGCCTATGGTGAAAAAGGAAATATCTTCACCTAAAAACAAGACCGAATCTTTCTCAGAAAATTCTCTGTGATGTGTCCATTCATCTCACAGAGTTGAACATTTCTTTTGATTGAGCAGATTGGAAATAGTCTTTTTGTGGAATCTGCAAAGCAATATTTCTGAGCAGTTTGAGGCCTATGGTGAAAAAGGAAATATCATCACATAAAAACTAGACAGAAGATTTCTGAGAAACTTCTTTGTGATGTGTGTATTCATCTTACAGAGTTGAAACTTTCTTTTGATTGAGCAATTTGGAAACAGTCTTTGTGCAGAATCTGCAAAGGGATGATTCTGAGTGGCTTGAGGCCTGTGGTGAAAAAGGAAATATCTTCACATAAAAACTAGACAGAAGCTTTCTGAGAAACTTCCTTGTGATGTTTGCATTCATCTCACAGAGTTGAAACTTTCTTTTGATTGAGCAGCTTGGAAACCGTCTATTTGCAGAATCTGCAAAGGGATATTTGGGATCCCATTAAGGCATAGGGAGAAATAGGGAATATCTTCACCTAAAAACTAGACAGAAGTTTTCTGAGAAACTTCTTTTTGATGTGTGCATTCAAATCACAGACTTGAAATCTTTTGACTAAGCAGTTTGGAAAAAGTCTTTTTGTACAATCTGCAAAAGGACATTTGGGAGCCCTTTGAGGCATATGTTGAAAAAGGAAATATGGTCACCTAAAATCTAGACAGAAGATTTCTGAGAAACTTCGTTGTGTAATGTGCATTCATCTCACAGAGTTGAAACTTTCTTTTGATTGAGAAATTTGGAAAAAGTCTTTCTGTAGATTCTGCAAAGGGATATATCTGAGCAGTTTGAGGCCTATGGTGAAAAAGGAAATATGTTCATATAAAAACTACACAGAAGCTTTCTGAGAAACTTCCTTATGATCTGTGCATTCGTCTCACAGAATTGAACCTTACTTTTGATTG
This sequence comes from Homo sapiens, assembly GCF_000001405.40. Taxonomy (NCBI): domain Eukaryota; kingdom Metazoa; phylum Chordata; class Mammalia; order Primates; family Hominidae; genus Homo; species Homo sapiens. Next base: position 39,364,654 of record NC_000010.11, on the reverse strand, counting down.
AGCAGTTTGGAAACAGTCTTTTTGAATAATCTGCAAAGGGATATCTGGGAGCCCTTTGAGGCCTATTGTGAAAAAGGAAATATCTTCACATAAAAAACAGACAGAAGCTTTCTCAGAAAATTATTTGTGATGTGTGCATTAATCTCACAAAGTTGAACATTTATTTTGATTGAACAGTTTGGAAACAGTCTTTTTGTAGCATCTGCAAAGGGATAATTCTGAACGGTTTGAGGCCTATAGTGAAAAACGAAATATCTTCACATAAAAATTAGACAGAAGTTTTCAGAGAAAACTATTTTGATGCGTGCATTCATCTCACAGAGTCGAAGCTTTCTTTTGATTGAGCAGTTTGGAAACAGACTTTTTCTGGAATCTGCAAAAGGATATTCCTGAGGGGTTGAGTCCTATGGTGAACAAGGAAATATCATTACATAAAAACTAGACGGAATCTTTCTGAGAAAATTCTTTTGATGTGTGCATTCAACTCCCAAATTTGAACCTTTCTTTTGATTGAGGAATTTGGAAAAAGTCTTTCTGTATAATCTGCAAAGGGATATTTCTGAGCCGTTTGAGGCCTATGTTGAAAAACCAAATATCTTCACAAAAAAAACTAGACAGAAACTTCCTCAGAAAGTAATTTGTGATGTCTGCATTCAACGGACAGAGTTGTACCTTTCTTTTCATTGTGCAGTTTGAAAACAGTGTTTTTTTAGAATGTGCAAGGGGATATTTAGGACCCCTTTGAGGCCTATGATGAAAAAGGAAATAGCTTCACATAATAACTAGACAGAAGCCTTCTGAGAAACTTCTTTGTGATGTGTGCATTCATCTCACAGAGTTGAACCTTTCTTTTGATTGAGCATTTCAGAAACAGTCTTTTTAAAGAATCTGCAAAGGGATATTCTGAGCGGTTTGAGGCATATGGTGAAAAAGGAAATATCTTCACAAAAAAACTAGACAGAAGTTTTCTGAGAAATTCTTTGTGATGTGCACATTCAACTCACAGAGTTGAACCTTTCTTTTGATTGGGCAGTTAGGAAACAGTCTTTTTTGTAAAATTTGCAAGGGGATATTAGTGATCCCTTTTAGACCTATGGTGAAAAAGGGAATATCTTCACATAAGAACTAGACAGAAGTGTCTGAGAAACTTCTTTGTTATATGTGCATTAATGTCACAGAGTTTAACATTTCTTTTGATTGAGCAGCTTGGAAACAGTCTTCTTGTAGAATCTGCAAAGGGATGTTTCTGAGTGGTCTGAGGTCTATGTTGAAAAAGGAAATATCTTCATATAAAAACTAGACTGAATCTTTCTGAGAAACTTCTTTATGATGTGTGCATTCATCTCACACTGTTGAACCTTTCTTTCAATTGAGCTGTTTGGAATCAGTCTGTTTGTAGAATCTGAAGAGGGATGTTAGGGAGCCCTTTGAGGCCTATGGTGAAGAAGGAAATATCTTCACATAAAAACTAGGCAGAAGCATTCACAGAAAATTCTTTGTGATATGTGCATTCATCTCACAGAGTTGTACCTTTCTTTTGATTGAGCAGATTGGAAATAGATTTTTTGTAGAATCTGCAAAGGGATATTTCTAGGAGGTTTGTGTCCTATGGTGAAAAAGGAAATATTTTCACATAAAAAGAAGACAGAAACTTTCTGAGAAATTTCTTTGTGATGTGTGCATTCATCTCACAGAGTCGAAGCTTTCTTTTCATTAAGCAGTTTGGAAATGGTCTATTTCTAGAATCTGTAATGGGTATTTCCTAGAAGTCTGAGGCCTATGGTGAAAAAGGAAATAACTTCACATAAAAACTAGACAGAAGCTTTCTGAGAAACTTCTTTGTGATGTTTGCATTCACCTCACAGAGTTGAACATTTCTTTGGATTGAGCTCTTTGGAAACAGTCTTTTTAAAGAATCTGCAAAGGGATATTTGGGATCCCTTTGAGGCCTATGGTGAAAAAGGGAATATCTTCACATAAAACTAGACAGAAGCTTCCTGAGAAATTCATTTGTGACGTGTTTATTCATGTCAAAGAGTTGAACCTTTCTTTTGATTTAGCAGTTTGGAAACAGTCTTTTTCTAGAATACGCAAGGGGATATTTCTGAGCCATTTCAGGCCTATGGTGAAAAAGGAAATACCTTCACATAAAAACTAGACAGAAGCTTTCTGAGAAACTTCTTTGTGATGTGTGCATTCATCTCACAGAGTTGAAACTTCCTTTTGACTGAGCAGTTTAGAAACAGTCTTTTTGTAGAAACTGCAAATGCATATTTGGAGTGCTTTGAGGCATATGGTGAAAAAGGAAATATCTTCCCATAAAAACTAGACAGAAGCTTTCTGAGAAACTTCTTTGTGATGTGTGTATTCACATCACACAGTTGAAACTTTCGTTTGATTGAGGAGTTTGGATACAGTCTTTTACTAGAATCTGCAAAGGGATATTTCTAAGCAGTTTGAGGCTTATGATGAAAAAGGAAATGTCTTCATACAAAAACTAGACAGAAACTTTCTGGGAAACTTCCTTATGATGTGTGCATTCACTTCACAGAGTTGAAACTTTCCTTTGATTGAGCAGTTTCAAAATAGTCTTTTGGTAGAATCTACAAAGGGATATTTGTGAGTGGTTTGAGGCCATTGGGAAAAAGGCAATATCTTCACTTAACAATTAGACAGAAGCTTTCTGAGAAACTTCTTGCTGAAGTGTGCATTCAACTCACAGAGTTGAACCTTTCTTTTGAGTGAGCAGTTTGGAAACACTCTTTTTGTACAATCTGCAAAGGGATATTTGGGATCCCTTTGAGGCCTATGGTGAAAAAGGGAATATCTTCATAGAAAAACTAGACAGAAGTATCTGAGAAACTTCTCTGTGATATCTGCATTCATCTCACAGTTTTGAACCTTTCTTTTGATTGAGCAGTTTGGAAACAGACTTTTTGTAGAATCTGCAAAGAGATATTTCTGAGCGTTTTGAGGCCTATGGTGAAAAAGGAAATATCTTCATATAAAAACTAGACAGAGGCTTTCTGAGAAACCTCTTTATGATGTGTGCCTTCTTATCACAGAGGTGAACATTTCTTTTGATTTAGCAGTTTCAAAACAGTCTTTTTGTAGAATCTGGAAAGGGATATTTGGGGACCCTTTGGGGCCTATGGTGATAAAAGAATTATCTTCACATAAAAACTAGACGGAAGCTTTCTCAGAAAATTCTTTGGATATGTGCATTCAACTAACAGAGTTGAATCTTTCTTATGATTGAGTAGTTTGGAAACAGACTTTTTGTAGAATCTGCAAAGGGATATTTGGGTTCCCTTTGAGGCCTGTGGTGAAAAAGGGAATATCTTCACATAAAACCTAGACAGGAGCTTTCTGTGAAACTTCTTTGTGATATGTGTGTTCATCTTACTGAGTTGAACCTTACTTTTCATTGAGCAGTTTGGAAACAGTATTTTTGTAGAATCTGCAAAGGGATATTTCTGAGCAGTTTGAGTCCTATGGTGAAAAAGGAAATATCTTCATATAAAAACTAGACAGAAACTTTCTTTATTTTATTTTATTATTATACTTTAAGTTTTAGAGTATGTGTGCACAATGTGCAGGTTTGTTACATATGTATACATGTGCCATGTTGGTGTGCTGCACCCATTAACTTGTCATTTAGCATTAGGTATATTTCCACACACCCCTCCCCACACCCCACAACAATACCCAGAGTGTGATGTTCCCCTTCCTGTGTCCAAGTGTTCTTATTGTTTAATTCCAACCTATGAGTGTGAACATAAGGTGTTTGGTTATTTGTCCTCTCAAATACATTTATGCATCCAAAAAACACATGAAAAAAATGCTCATCATCACTGGCCTTCAGAGAAATGCAAATAAAAACCACAATGTGATATCATCTCACACCAGTTAGAATGCAATCATTAAAAAGTCAGGAAACAGCAGGTGCTGGAGAGGATGTGGAGAAATAAGAATACTTTTACACTGCTGGTGGGACTGTAAACTATTTCAACCATTGTGGAAATCAGTGTGGTGATTCCTCAGGGATCTAGAACTAGAAATACCATTTGACCCAGCTGTCCCAGTACTTGGTATGTACCCAAAGGTTTATAAATCATGCTGCCATAAAGACACATGCACACGTATGTTTATTGTGGCACTATTCACAACAGCAAAGACTTGGAACCAACCCAAATGTCCAACAACGATAGACTAGATTAAGAAATTGTGGCACACATACACCATGGAATATTATGCAACCACAAAAAATGAAGAATTCATGTCCTTTTTAGAGACATGGATGAAACTGGAAACCATCATTCTTAGATATAAACTTTCTGAGAAACTTCTTTGTGTTATGTGCATTCATCTCACAGAGTTGTGCCTTTCTATTGATTGAGCAGTCTGGAAACACTCATTTTGTAGAATCTGCAAATGGATATTCGGGATCCCTTTAAGGCCTATCATGAAAAAGGGAATAGCTTCACATAAAAACTAGACAGAAGCTTTCTGAGAAACTTCTTTGTGATGTGTTCATTCAACTCACAGACTTGACCTTTCTTTTGATTGAGCAGTTTGGAAACAGTCTTTTTCTAGAATCTTGCAAAGGGATAATTCTGACTAGTTTGAGGCGTATGATGAAAAAGGAAATATCTTCACATAAAAACTAGACAGAAGCATTCTGAGAAACTTCTTTGTGATGTGTGCTTTCAGCTCACAGAGTTGAACACTTCTTTTGATTGAGCAGTTTGGAAACACTCTTTTGCATAATCTGCAAAGGGATATTTGGGCACCCTTTGAGGTCTATGGTGAAAAAGGAAATTATCTTCACATAAAAACTAGACGGAATCTTTCTCAGAAAATTATTTGTGATGTGTGCATTCAACTCATGGAGTTAAACATTTCTTTTGATTGAGCAGTTTGGAAACAGTCTTTTTGTAGAAGACACAGTAGGATATTTGTGAGCCCATTTGAGGCCTATGGTGAAAAAGGAAATATCTTCATATAAAAATATACAGAAGCTTTCTGAGAAACCTTTTTATGATGTGTGAATTCATGTCACAGAGTTGAAACTTTCTTTTGGTTGAGCAGTTTGGAAACATTCTTTTTGTAGAATCTGCAAAGGGATATTTAGGAGCCATTTGAGGTCTTTGGTGAAAAAGGAAATACCTTCATATAAAAACTAGACAGAAGCTTTCTGAGAATCTTCTTTGTGATGTGTGCATTCACCTCACAGGTTTGAACCTTTCTTTTGAATGAGGAGTTTGGAAACATTGTTTTTGTATAGTCTCCTAAGGGGTATTTCTGAGCAGTTTGAGGCCAATGGTGAAAAATGAAATATCTTCACATAAAAACGAGACAGAAGCTTTATGAGAAACTTCCTTGTGATGAGCACATTCATTTCACAGAGTGGAAGATTTCTTTTGATTGAGCAGTTTGGAAACAGTCTTTTTCTACAATCTTCAAAGGGATAATTCTGAGCCATTTGAGTCCTACCATGAAAAAGGAAATATCTTCACATAAAAACTAGACAGAAGCTTTCTGAGAAACCTCTTCATGATGTGTGCATTCAACTCAAATAGTTGAAAGTTTCTTTTGATTGAGCAGTTTGGAAAGATCCTTTTTATAGGATCTGCAAAGGAGTAATTGGGAGTCCTTTGAGGCCTATGGTGAGAAAGGGAATACCTTCATGTAAAAAGTAGACAGAAGCTCTCTGAGAAGCGTCTTTGTGATGTGTGCATTCAACTCACAGAGTTGAAACTTTCTTTTGATTGAGCAGTTAGGAAGAAGTATTTTGTAGAATCTGCAAAGCGATACTTGGGATCCCTTTGAGGGCTGTTTTGAAAAAGGGAATATCTTCACTTAAAAACTAGACAGAAGTTTTCTGAGAAGCTTCTTTTTTATGTGTGCATCCATGTCACAGAGTCAAAACTGTCTTTTAATTGAGCAGCGTGGAAACAGTCTTTTTGTAGAATCTGCTGAGGGATATTGCTGAGCAGTTTGAAGCTTGTGGTGAAAAAGGAAATATCTTTGTGTAAAAACTAGACCAAAGCTTTCTGAGAAACTTTTTTATGATGGGTGCATTCATTTCACAGAGCTGAACCTTTCTTTTGATTGAACAGCTTGGAAATGGTCTTTTTCTAGAACCAGCAAAGGGATACTTGAGGGTGCACTGAGACCTACGGTGAAAAAGGTAATATCTTCACATAAAAACTAGACAGAAACTTTCTGAGAAACTTCTTTGTTATATGCGCATTCATCTCACAGAGTTGAACCTTTCTTTTGATTGAGTAGTTTGGAAACAGTCTTTTTGTAGAATCTACAAAGGGATATTTCTGAGCAGATTGAGGTCTGTGGTGAAAAAGGAAATATATTCATATAAAAAGTAGACAGAAGGTTTCTGAGAAACTTCTTTGTGATGTGTGCATTCTACTCACAGTGCTGAATCTTTATTTTGATTGAGCAGTTTCCAAACAGTCTTTCTGTAGAATCTCCAAAGGGATATTTTGGATACCTTTGAGGCCTACGTTGAAAAAGGGAATATCAACGTTCATCAAGGATATTTGTCTAAAATTCTTTTTCGGTTGTGGCTCTGCCCGGCTTTGGTATCAGGATGATGCTGACCTCATAAAATGAGTTAGGGAGGATTCCCTCTTTTTCTATTGATTGGAATAGTTTCAGAAGGAAAGGTATCAGTTCCTCCTTGCACCTGTGGTAGAATTCGGCTGTAAATCCATCTGGTCCTGGACTCTTTTTGGTTAGTAAGCTATTGATTATTCCCACAATTTCAGATCCTGTTATTGGTCTATTCAGAGATTCAACTTCTTCCTGGTTTAGTCTTGGGAAGGTGTATGTGTCGAGGAATTTATCCATTTCTTCTAGATTTTCTAGTTTATTTGCATAGAGGTGTTTGTAGTATTCTCTGATGGTAGTTTGTATTTCTGTGGGATAGGTGATGATATCCCCTTTGTCATTTTTTATTGCGTCTATTTTATTCTTCTCTCTTTTCTTCTTAATTAGTCTTGCTAGTGGTATATCAATTTTGTTGATCCTTTCAAAAAACCAGCTCCTGGATTCATTAATTTTTTGAAGGGTTTTTTTGTGTCTCTATTTCCTTCAGTTCTGCTCTGATTTTAGTTATTTCTTGCCTTCTGCTAGCTTTTGAATGTGTTTGCTCTTCCTTTTCTTGTTCTTTTAATTGTGATGTTATGGTGTCAAGTTTGGATCTTTCCTGCTTTCTCTTGTGGGCATTTAGTGCTATAAATTTCCCTCTACACACTGCTTTGAATGTGTCCCAGAGATTCTGGTATGTTCTGTCTTTGTTCTCGTTAGTTTCAAAGAACATCTTTATTTCTGCCTTCATTTCGTTATGTACCGAGTAGTCATTCAGGAGCAGGTTGTTCAGTTTCCATGTAGCTGAGCAGTTTTGAGTGAGTTTCTTAATCTTGAGTTCCAGTTTGATTGCACTGTGGTCTGAGAGACAGGTTGTTATAATTTCTGTTCTTTTACATTTGCTGAGGAGAGATTTACTTCCAAGTATGTGGTCAGTTTTGGAATAGGTGTGCTGCTGAAAAAAATGTATATTCTGTAGATTTGGGGTGTGGAGTTCTGTAGATGTCTATTAGGTCCACTTGGTGCAGAGCTTTCAATTCCTGGGTATCCTTGTTAACTTTCTGTTTTGTTGATCTGTCTAATGTTGACAGTGGGTTGTTAAAGTCTCCCATTATTATTGTGTGGGAGTCTAAGTCTCTTTGTAGGTCACTCAGGACTTGCAAAAATACTCAATAAAATACTGGCAAACTGAGTCCAGCAGCACATCAAAAAGCTTATCCACCATGATCAAGTGGGCTTCATCCCTGGGATGGAAGGCTGGTTCAATATACGCAAATCAATAAATGTAATCCAGCATACAAACAGAACCAAAGACAAAAACCACATGATTATCTCAATAGTTGCAGAAAAGGCCTTTGACAAAATTCAACAACTGCTCATGCTGAAATCTCTCAATAAATTAGGTATTGATGGGATGTATCTCAAAATAATAAGAGCTATCCATGACAAATCCACAGCCAATATCATACTGAATGGGCAAAAGCTGGAAGCATTCCCTTTGAAAACTGGCACAAGGCAGGGATGCCCTCTCTTACCACTCCTGTTCAACATAGTGTTGGAAGTTCTGGCCAGGACAATTAGGCAGTAGAAGGAAATAAAGGGTATTCAATTAGGAAAAGAGGAAATCAAATTGTCCCTGTTTGCAGATGAGATGATTGTATATCTAGAAAACCCCATTGTCTCATCCCAAAATCTCCTTAAGCTGATAAGCAACTTCAGCAAAGTCTCAGGATACAAAATCAATGTACAAAAATCACAAACATTCTTATACACAAATAAGAAGCAAACAGAGAGCCAAATCATGAGTGAACTCCCATTCACAATTGCTTCAAAGAGAAAAAAATACCTAGGAATCCAACTTACAAGGGATGTGAGGGACCTCTTCAAGAACTACAAACCACTGCTCAATGAAATAAAAGAGGATACAAACAAATGGAAGAACATTCCATGCTCTTGGGTAGGAAGAATCAATATTGTGAAAATGGCCATACTACCCAAGGTAATTTATAGATTCAATGCCATCCCCATCAAGCTACCAATGACTTTCTTCACAGAATGAGAAAAAAACTACTTTAAAGTACATATGGAACCAAAGGAGAGCCTGCATCACCAAGTCAATCCCAAGCCAAAAGAACAAAGCCAGAAGCATCACACTACCTGACTTCATATTATACTACAAGGCTACAGCAACCAAAACAGCATGGTACTGGTACTAAAACAGAGATATAGATCAATGGAACAGAACAGAGCCCTCAGAAATAATGACACATATCTACAACTATCTGATCTTTGACAAACCTGAGAAAGACAAGCAATGGCAAAAGGATTCCCTATTTAATAAATGGTGCTGGGAAAACTGGCTAGCCATATGTAGAAAGCTGAAACTGGATCCCTTCCTTACACCTTATACAAAAAACAATTCAAGACGGATTAAAGACTTAAACATTAGACTGAAAACCATAAAAACCCTAGAAGAAAACCTAGGCATTACCATTCAGGAAACAGGCATGAGCAAGGACTTCATGTCTAAAACACCAAAAGCAATGGCAACAGAAGCCAAAATTGACAAATGGGATCTAACTAAACTAAAGAGCTTCTGCACAGCAAAAGAAACTACCATCAGAGTGAACAGACAACCTACAAAATCGGAGAAAATTTTCACAACCTACTCATCTCACAAAGGGCTAATATCCAGAATCTACAATGAACCCAAACAAATATACAAGAAAAAAACAAACAACCCCATCAAAACGTGGGAGAAGGGCATGAACAGACAATTCTCAAAAGAAGACATTTATGCAGCCAAACACATGAAAAAATGTTCAGCATCACTGGCCATCAGAGAAATGCAAATCAAAACCACAATGTGATACCATCTCACACCAGTTAGAATGGCAATCATTAAAAAGTCAGGAAACAACAGATGCTGGAGAGGATGTGGAGAAATAGGAACATTTTTACACTGTTGGTGGGACTGTAAACTAGTTCAACCATTGTGGAAGTCAGTGTGGTGATTCCTCAGGGATCTAGAACTAGAAGTACCATTTGACCCAGCCATCCCATTTCTGGGTATATACCCAAAGGACTATAAATCATGCTGCTATAAAGACAAATGAACATGTATGTTTATTGCAGCACTATTCACAATAGCAAAGACTTGGAACCAACCCAAATGTCCAACGATGATAGACTGGATTAAGAAAATGTTGCACATATACCCCATGGAATACTATGCAGCCATAAAAAATGATGATTTCATGTCCTTTGTAAGGACATGGATGAAATTGGAAATCATCATTCTCAGTAAACTATCGCAAGGACAAAAAACCAAACACCAGATGCTCTCACTCATAGGTAGGAATTGAATAATGAGAACACATGGACATAGGAAGGGGAACATCACACTCCGGGGACTGTTGTGTCATGGCGGGAGGGGGGAGGGATGGCATTAGGAGATATACCTAATGCTAAATGACAAGTTAATGGGTGCAGCAGACCAGCATGGCACATGTATATATTTGTAACTAACATGCACATTGTGCACAGGTACCCTAAAACTTAAAGTATAATAATAACAAAATAAAAAAAAAGAAAAAGGGAATATCTTCACATAAAAACTAGACAGAAGCTTTCTGAGAAACTTCTTTGTGATGTATGCATTCATCTCACAGAGTTGAACCTTTCTTTTGATTGAGCAGTTTGTAGACAGTATTTTTGTATTATCTCCAAAGGGATATTTCTGAGTGGTTTGAGGCCTATGGTGAAAAACGAAATACCCTCATATTAAAACTAGATGGAAGCACTCTGAGAAACTTTTCTCAGATGTGTGAATTCATCTCACAGAGTTGAACATTTCTTTTGATTGAGCAGTTTGGAAACAGCTTTTTTGTATAATCTGCAAAGGTATATGTAGGAACCCTTTAAGATTCATGGTGAAAAAGGAAATATCTTCACATGAAAACTAGACAAAAGCTTTCTCAGAAAATTCTTTGGTATATGTGCTTTCATCTCACAGGGTTGAACCTTTCTTTTGATTGAGAAGTTTGAAAACCGTTTTTTGTAGAATCTGCAAAGGGAGATTTCTGAGCCTGAGCAGTTTGAGTCCTATGATGAAAAAGGAAATATCTTCACTTAAAAATTAGCCAGAAGTTTTCTGAGAAACTTCCTTGTGTTGTATGCATTCATCTCATAAAGTTGAAACTTTCTTTTGACTGAGTTGTTTGGAAACAGTCTTTTTGTAGAATCTGCAGAGGGATATTTCTGAGTGGTTTGAGTCCAATGGTGAAAAAGGAAATATCTTCACATAAAAACTAGACAGAAACTTTCTGAGAAACTTCTTTATGATGTGTGCATTCAACTCACAGCATTGAACCTTTCTTTTCATTGAGCAGATTGGAAACAGTCCCTTTGTAGTATCTGCAAGGGGATATTTGGGTACTATTTGAGGCCCATGGTGAAAAAGGGAATATTTTCTCTTAAAAACTAGATAGAAGCTTTCTGAGAAACTTCTTTGTGATATGTGCATTCATGTCACAAAGTTGAACCTTTCTTTTGATTAAGCAGTTTGGAAACAGTCTTTTTGTAGCATCTGACAAGGGATATTTCTAAGCGGCTTGAGGCCTATGGTGAAAAAGGAAATATCTTCATATAAAAACTAGACAGAAGCTTTCTGAGAAACCTGTTAATGATGTATGCATTCATCCTACAGAGTTGAAACTTTCTTTTGATTGAACAGATTGGAAATAGTCTTTTGGTAGAATCTGCAAAGGGATGTTACTGAGTGGTTTGAGGCCTATGGTGAAAAAGGAAATATCTTCATGTGAAAACTAGACAGAAGCTTTCTAAGAAATTTCTTTAAGATGTGTGCCTTCATATCACACAGTTGAACCTTTCTTTTCATTGAGCAGTTTGGAAGCAGTCTTTTTGTAGAATCTGCCATGAGATATTTGGGATCCCTTTGAGGCCTATGGTGAAAAAGGGAATATCTTCACATAAAAACTAGATAGAAGCTTTCTGAGAAATTTCTTTTCAATGTGTGCATTCAACTCACGGAGTTGAACCTTTCTTTTGACTGAGCAGTTTGAAAACAGTCTTTTTATAGAATCTGCAAAGGGATATTTGGGAGCCCTTTGAGGCCTATGGTGAAAAAGGAAATACCTTCACATTAAAACTAGATAGTAGCTTTCACAAAAAATTCTTTGTGATGTGTGGATTCATCTCACAGAGTTGAACCTTTCTTTTGATTGAGTAGTTTAGATACTGTCTTTTTGTAGAATCTACAAAGGGATATTTGGGATCCCCTTGAGGACTCTAGTGAAAATGGGAATATATTCACATGAAAACTAGACAGAAGCTTTCTGAGACACTTCTTTGTGATGTGTGCATTCATCTCACGGAGTTGATCCATTCTTTTCATTGAGCAGTTTGGAAACTGCCTTTTTGTAGTTTCTGCAAAGGGATATTTCTGAGCGGTTTGAGGACTATGGTGAAAAAAGAAATATCTTCATATAAAAACTAGACACAAGTTTTGAGAAACCACTTAATAATGTGTGCATTCATCCCAGAGAGTTGAACCTTTCTTTTGATTGAGCAGTTAGGAAACGGTCATTTTGTAGAATCTGCAAAGGGATATTTGGGAACCCTTTGAGGCCTATGGTGAAAAACGAAATATGTTCACATAAAAACTAGACAGAAGATTTCTCAGAAAATTCTTTGTGATGTGTGCATTCATCTCTCAGAGTTGAAGCTTTGATTTGATTGAGCAGATTGAACACATTGTTTTTCAAAAATCTGTGAAGGGATATTTCTGAGCAGTTTGAGGCCTATGGAGAAAAAGGAAATATCTTCATATGAAAACCAAACAGAAGCTTTCTGAGAAACATCTTTATGATGTGTGCATTCATCTCACGGAATTGGACCTTTCCTTTGATTGAACAGTTTGGAAACAGTCTTTTTGTAGAATCTGCAAAGAGATAATTAGGAACCCTTTGAGACCTATGGTGAAAAAGGAAATATCTTCACATGAATACTAGACAAAAACATTTTCAGAGAATTCTTTGTGATGTGTGCATTTATCTCACAGAGATGAAACTTTCTTTTGATTGAGCAGTTTTTAAACAGTCTATTTGTAGAACCTGAAAAGGTATTTTTCTTAGTTTTTTGATGCCTATGTTGAAAAAGGAAATATTTTCACATAAAAATTAGACAAAAGCCTTCTGAGAAACTTCCTTGTAATGTGTGCATTTATCTCACTGAGTTGAGACTTTCTTTTCCTCAGCAGTTTGTAAACAGTCTTTTTCTAGAATCTGCAAAGGGATACTTCTGAGCGGTATGAGGCCTAGTGTGAAAAAGGAAATATCTTCACATAAAAACTAGACAGAATCTTTCTCAGTAACTTATTTCTGATATGTGCATTTATCTCACAGAGTTGAAACTTTCTTTTGATTGAGTAGTTTGGAAACAGTCCTTTTCTAGAATCTGCAAAGGGATATTTCTGAGTGGTGTGAGGCCTAGTGTGAAAAAGGAAATATCTTCAAGTAAAAACTAGACAGAAGTTTTCTGGAAACTTCTTTGTGGTGTTTGCATGTAACTCACAGAGTTGAAACTTTCTTTTGATTTAGCAGTTTGGAAACAATCTTTTTACAGAAACTGCAAGGGATATTTGGGATCCCTTTGAGGCCTATGGTGAAAAACGGAATATCTTCATATAAAAACTAGACAGATTTCTAAGACACTTCTTTGTAAAGTGTGCATTAATCTCACAGAGTTGAAACTTCCTTTTCATTGAGCAGTTTGGAAAGAGTCTTTTTATGGAATCTGCAATGGGATATTTCTGAGCGGTTTGAGGCCGATGGTGAAAAAGGAAATATCTTCACATAAAAACTAGACAGAAGCTTTCTGAGAAACCTCTTTTTAACGTGTGCATTCATCTCACAGAGTTGAACTTTTCTTTAGATTGTGCAGTTTGGAAACAGTCTTTTTCTAGAATCTGCAAAGGTATATTTCTGAGAGGTTTGAGACCTAGGGTGAGAAAGGAAATATCATCAATTAAAAACTAGACAGAAGCTTTCTGAGAAACTTTTTTTGTGATGTTTGCATTCAACTCACAGAGATGAACCTTTGTTTTGATTGAGCTGTTTGGAAACAATCATTGTATAGAATCTGCAAAGAGACATTTGACATCCCTTTACACCCTACGGTGAAAAAGCGAATGTCTTTACATAAAACTAGACAGAAGCTTTCTGAGAAACTTCTTAATGATGAGTGCATTCATCTCACAGAGTTGAAACTTTCTTTTCATTGAGCAGTTTGGAAACAGTCTTTTTGTAGAATGTTCAAAGGGATAATTCTGAGTGAGGCCTAGTGTGAAAAGGAAATACCTTCACATAAAAAGTAGACAAAAGCATTCTGAGAAACATCTTTGTGATGTGTGCATTCAACTCACAGAGTTGATCCTTTCTGTTGATTGAGCAGTTTGGAAGCAGTCTTTTTTTAGAATCTGCAAAGGGATATTTGGGAGCAATTGGAGGACCATGATGAAAAAGTAAATATGTTAATATAAAAACTAGACAGAAGCTCTCAGAGAATCTTCCTTATGATGTTTGAATTCATCTCACAGAATTGAACCTTTCTTTTATTTGAGCAGTTTCAAAACAGCCTTTTTTTATTTTATTTTTTTCAGAATCTGCTGAGGGAAATTTGGAAACCCTTTGAGTCCTAGGTGAAAAAGGAAATATCTTCACGTAAAAACTAGACAGAGATTTCTCAAAAGATACTTTGTGATGTGTGCCTTCATCTCTCAGTGTTGAATCTTTCTTTTGATTGAGCAGTTTGGAAACAGTCTGTTTGTAGAATCTACAAAGGGATATTTCATCACCCTTTGAGGCCTATGTTGAAAAGGGAAATATCTTCACATAAAAACTAGATACAAACTTTCTGTGAAACTTCTTTAGGATGTGTGCATTCATCTCACAGAGTTGAAGCTTTGTTTTGATTGAGCAGTTTGGAAACAGTCTTTGTGTAGAATATGCAAAGGGATATTTCTGAGCAGTTAGAGGCCTATAGTGAAAAAGGAAATACCTTTACATAAAAACTACACAGAAGCTGTCTGAGGAACTTCTTTGGGATGTGTGCATTCATCTCACGGAGTTGAAACTTTCTTTTGATTGAGCAGTTTGGAAACAGTCTTTTTCTAGAATCTGCAAGGGGATATTTCTGAGCAGTTTTAGGCCTATGGTGAAATAGGAACTATCTTCACATAAAAACTAGGCAGAAGCTTTCTGAGAATCTTCTTTGTGATGTGTACATTCAACACACAGAGTTGAACCTTTCTTTTGATTGAGGGTTTTGGAAACAGTCTTTTTGTAGAATCTGCAGAAGGGATATTTGGGATCCCTTTGTGGCCTATGGTGGAAAAGGGAATATCTTCACATAAAAGCTACACAGAAGCTTTCTCATAAAATTCTTATTAATGTGTGCATTCATCTCACAGAGCTGAACATGTCTTTTTATTGAGCAGTTTGGAAACAGTCTTTTTCTAGAATCTGAAAAGGGATATTTCTGAGCAGTTTAAGGCCTATGGTGAAAAAGGAAATATCTTCCCATAAAAACTAGACAGAATATTTCTGAGAAAGTTCTTTGTGATGTGTGCATTCACGTCACAGAGTTGAAGCTTTCTTTTAATTGAGAAGTTTGGAAGCAGTCTCTTTCTAGAATCAGCAAAGGGATATTTCGGGGTGGTTTGAGGCCTTTTGTGAAGAACAAAATGTCTTCACATAAAAACTAGACAGAGCTTTCAGAGAAACTCCTTTTTGATGTGTGCATTCAACTCACAGACTTGAACTTTTAACTTGATTGAGCAGTTTGGAAACAGTCTTATTGTGGATTCTGCATTAGGATATTTCTGAGTGGTTTGAGGCCTATGGTGAAAAAGGAAATATCTTCATACAAAAACTAGACAGATGCTTTCTGAGAAACTTCCTTGTGATGTGTGCATTCATCTCACAGATTTGAACCTTTCTTTTGATTGAGCAGTTTGGAAACAGTCTTTTGTAGAATCAGGAAAAGGATATCTGAGGGCGCTTTCATGCCTATGGTGAAAAAGGAAATATCTTCACATGAAAACTAGACAGAAGCTTTCTGAGAAACTTCTTTGTGATATGTGCATTGAACTCACAAAGTTGAACATTTCTTTTGATTGAGCAGGTGGAAACAGTCTTTTTCTAGAATCTGCAAAGGGATATTTGAGATCCCTTTGAGGCCTATGGTGAAAAAGGGAATATCTTAACATAGAAATTGGACAGTGAGCTTTCTGAGAAACTTCTATTTGATGTGTGCATTCAACTCACAGACTTGAACTTTTCTTTTGATTGAGCCTGCACATTGTGCACATGTACCCTAAAACTTAAAGAAGAATAATAAAAAAAAGAAAAAAATAGTTCAACATTTCTTTTGATTGAGCAGTTGGAGAACGGTATTTTTATAGATCTGCAAAGGGATATTCCCAAGCGATTTGGGGCCTATGCTGAAAAAGTAAATATCTTCTTATGAAAACTACACAGTAGCTTTCTGAGAAACTTCTTTTTGATGTGTGCATTCATCTCACAGAGTTGAAACTTTCTTATGATTGAGCATTTTGGAAACAGTATTTTTGTAAAATCTGCAAAGGGATTTTTGGGATCCCTTTGAGGACTATGATGAAAAAGGAAATATCTTCACATAAAACCTAGACTGAAGATTTCTGAGAAACTTTTTTGTAACATATGCATTCATCTCACGGAGTTGATGCTTTCTTCTGACTGAGCAGTTTGGAAAACGTCTTTTTGTAGAATCTGCAAAGGGATATTTCTAAGAGGTTTGTGGCCTATGGTGAAAAAGGAAATATCTTCACATAAATACTAGACAGAAGCTTTCTGAGAAACTCTTTTGGAATGTGTGCATTCAACCCACAGAGTTGAACTTTCCTTTTGATTGAGCAATTTGGAAACAGTCTTTTTGTAGAATCTCCTGGGGAATATTTGGGAGCCCTTTGAGGCTTCTGGTGAAAAAGAAAATATGTTCGCTAAAAAACTAGACAGAAGCTTTCTGAGAAACTTCTTTGTGATGTGTGCACTCATCTCACAGAGTTGAACATTTCTTTTGATTGAGCAGTTTGGAAACAGTCTTTTTGTAGAATCTGCAAAGGGATGTTAGCGGTTTGAGGCCTATGATGAAAAAGTAAATATCTTCACATAAAAACTAGACAGAAGGTTTCTGAGAAACTTCTTTATGATGTTTGCATTCATCTCACAGGTTTGAAACTTTCTTTTGATTGAGCCATATGGAAACAGTCTTGTCATAGAATCTGCAAAGGGATATTTAAGGGCAGTTTGATGCCTATGGTGACAAAGGAAATATCTTCACATAAAAACTAGATAGAAATTTTATGAGAAACTTCTTTGTGATGCATGCATTCATCTCAGAGGGTTGAAACTTTCTTTTCATTGAGCAGTTTGAAACAGTATTTTTGGAGAATCTGCAAAAGGATGTTTGGCAGTCCTTTGAGTCCTGTGGTGAAATGGGAAATATCTTCACATAAAAATTAGACAGAAGCTTTCTGAGAAACTTCTTTGTGATGTGTGCATTCATCTCACAGAATTAAGACTTTCTTTTGATTGAGCAGTTAGGAAACAGTCTTTTACTAGAATCTGCAAAGGAATATTTTGGAGTGGCTTGAGTCCTATGGTGAAAAAGGAAATATCTTCCCATAAAAACTAGACAGAAGCTTTCTGAGAAACTTCTTTGTTATGTGTGCATTCAACTCATGGAACTTCTTTGTTATGTGTGCATTCAACTCACAGTGATGAAATTCCTTTTGATTGAGCATTTTGGAGACAGTCTTTTTGTGGAATCTGCAATGGGATATTTGGGATCCCTTTGAGGCCCATGGTGAAAAAGGGAATATGTTCACGTAAAAACTAGATAGATGCTTTCTGGGAAACTTCTTTGTGATGCATGCATTCATCTTACAGAGTTGAAACTTTCTTTTGATTGAGCATTCTGGAAACAGTATTTTTGTGGAATCAGCAAAGGGATATTTCAGAGCCCTTTGTGGCCCATGGTGAAAAAGAAATATCTTCACATAAAAAGTAGACAGAAGCTTTATGAGAAACTTCTTTGTGATGTGTGCATTCATCTTACAGATTTGAACATTTCTTTTAATTGAGCAGTTTGGAAATAGTCTTTTTGGAGAATCTGCAAAGGGACATTTCTGAGTAGTTTGAGGCCTATGGTGAAATAGGGAATATCTTCACATAAAAACTAAACAGAAGCTTTCTGAGAAACTTCTTTGTGATGTGTGCATTCAGCTCCCAGTGTTGAAACTTTCCTTTGACTGAGCAGTTTGGAAAATGTCTCTTTGTAGAATCTCCAAAGGGATATTTGGGATCTCTTTGAGGCCTTTAGTGAAAAAGGTAATATCTTCACATAAAAACTAGACAGAAGCTTTCTGAGAAACTTCTTTGTGATGCGAGCATTCATCCTATAGAGTTGCAAGTTTCTTTTGATTGAGCAGTTTGGAAACAGTCTTTTTGTAGAATCTGGAAAGGGATATTTGGGAGCCTTTTGAGGCCTACGATGAAAAAGCAAATATCTTCACATAAAAACCGGACAGAAGCTTGCGGGAAATGTCTTTGTGATGAGTGCATTCATCTCACAGAGTTGAACGTCACTTTTGATTGAGCAGTTTGGACACAGACTTTTTGTATTATCTGCAAAGGGATATTTCTGAGCGGTTTGAGGCTTATGGTGGAAAAGGAAATATCTTCATATGAAAACTAGACAGAAGCTTTCTGAGAAACTTCTTTGTTATGTGTGCATTCAATTCACAGAGATGAACTTTTCTTTTGATTGAGCAGTTTGGAAAAAGTCTTTTTGTGGAATCTGCAATGGAATATTTGGGATCCCTTCGGGGCCCATGGTGAAAAAGGGAATGTCTTCACATAAAAACTAGACAGATGCTTTCTGAGAAACTTCTTTGTGATACATGCATTCATCTCACAGAGTTGAAACTTTCTCTTCTTTGAGCATTCTGGAAACCGTATTTTTGTGGAATCAGCAAAGGGATATTTCAGAGCCCTTTGAGGTCTATGGTGAAGAAGAAATATGTTCACATAAAAAGTAGACAGAAAATTTCTGAGAAACCTCTTTGTGATGTGTACATTCATCTCACGGATTTCAACGTTTCTTTTAATTGAGTAGTTTGGAAACAATCTTTTTGTAGAATCTTCAAAGTGATATTTCTGAGCGGTTTCAGGCCTATGGTGAAATAGGAAATATCTTCACATAAAAACTAGACAGAACCTTTCTGAGAAACTTCTTTGTGATATGTGCATTCTTCTCCCACTGTTGAAACTTTCCTTAAATTCTGCAGTTTGGAAAATGTCTTTTTGTAGAATCTCCAAAGGGATATTTGGGATCCCTTTGAGGCCTATAGTGAAAAAGGTAATATCTTCACATAAAAACTAGACAGAAGCTTTCTGAGAAACTTCTTTGTGATGCATGCATTCATCCTATAGGGTTGCAAGTTCTTTTGATTCAGCAGTTTGGAAACAGTCTTTTTCTAGAATCTGGAAAGGGATATTTGGGAGACTTTTGAGGCCTATGATGAAAAAGCAAATATCTTCACATAAAAACCATACAGAAGATTTGTAAGAAACGTCTTTGTGATGAGTGCATTCATCTCACAGAGTTGAACCTCCCTTTTGATTGAGCAATTTGGAAACAGTCTTTTTGTAGAATCTGCAAAGGAATATTTCTGAGCTGTTTGAGGCTTATGGTGGAAAAAAAAATCTTCATATGAAAACTACACAGAAGCTTCCTGAGAAACTTGTTTGTGTTGTGAGCATTCATCTCACAGAGTTGAAACTTTCTTTTGATTGAGTAGTTTGAAAACAGTCTTTTAGTAGAATCTGCAAAGGGATATTTGGGAGCTCTTTGAGGCCTGTGGAGAAAAAGGAAATATATTCACATAAAAACTAGACAGAAGTTTTCTGAGAAACTTCTAAGTGATGTGTACATTCACCTCACAGAATTGAACATTTCTTTTGATTGAGCAGTTTGGAAACAGTCTTTTTCTAGAATCTGCAAAGTGACATTTCTGAGCCTTTTGAGGCCTAAGGTGAAAAAGGAAATATCTTCACATAAAAACTTGACAGAAACCTTCTGAGAAACTTCTTTGTGATGTGTGCATTCATCTCACAGAGTTTAACCTTTCTTTTGATTGAGCAGTCTGGAAACAGTCTTTTTGTAGAATCTGCAAAGGGATATTTGGGGGAGCTTTGACATCTATGGTGATAAAGGAAATATCTTCACATAAAACCTAGAAAGAAGTTTTCTGAGAAACTTCTTTGTGATGCGTGCATTCATCTCTCAGGTTTCAAACTTTCTTTTGATTGAGCAGTTTGGAAACAGTCTTTTTGCAGAATCTGCAAAGGGATATATGGCAGCCCTTTGAAGCCTGTGGTGAAAAAGGAAATATCTTCATATAAAACCTGGACAGAAGCTTTCTGAGAAACTTCTTTGTGATGTGTGCACTCGTCTCACAGAGTTGAACATTTCTTTTGATTGAGCAGTTTGGAAACAGTCTTTTTGTAGAATTTGCAAAGGGATATTTCTTAGTGGTTTGAGGCCTATGATGAAAAAGAAAATATCTTCACATAAAAACTAGACAGAAGCTTTCTGAGAAACTTCTTTATGAGGTGTGCATTCATCTCACAGATTTGAACCTTTCTTTTGATTGAGCTGTGTGGAAACAGTCTTTTTGTAGAATCTGCAAAGGGATATTTGAGGGCGCTTTGATGCCTATGGTGATAAAGGAAATACCTTCACATAAAAACTAGACAGAAGTTTTCTGAGAAACTTCTTTGTGATGCGTACATTCATCTCAGAGGGTTGAAACTTTCTTTTGATTGAGCAGTTTGGAAACAGTCTTTTTGCAGAATCTGCAAAGGGATATATGGCAGCCCTTTGAGGCCTGTGGTGAATAAGGAAATATCATCACATAAAACCTAGACAGAAGCTTTCTGAGAAACTTCTTTGTGATGTGTGCATTCATCTCAAGAGATAAAGCTTTCTTTTGATTGAGCTGTTTGGAAACAGTCTTTTGCTAGAATCTGCAAAGGAATATTTCTGAGTGGTTTGAGGCCTATGGTGAAAAAGGAAACATCTTCACATAAAACTATACAGAAGCTTTCTGAGAAACTCTTTTTTGATGTGTGCATTCAACTCACAGAGTTGAACTTTTCTTTTGACTGAGCAGTTTGGAAACAGTCTTTTTTTAGAATCGGCTGGGGAATATTTGGGAGCCCTTTGAGGCCTATGGTGAAAAAGGAAATATGTTCACATAAAAACTAGACAGAAGCCTTCTGAGAAACTGCTTTGTGATGTGTGCACTCGTCTCACAGAGTTGAACATTTCTTTTGATTGAACAGTTTGGAAACAGTCTTTTTGTAGAATCTGCAAAGGGATATTTCTTAGCAGTTTGAGGCCTATGATGAAAAAGAAAATATCTTCACATAAAAACTAGACAGAAGCTTTCTGAGAAACTTCTTTATGATGCGTGCATTCATCTCACAGATTTGAACATTTCTTTTGATTGAACTGTGTGGAAACAGTCTTTTTGTAGAATCTGCAAAGGGATATTTGAGGGTGCTTTGATGCCTATGGTGATAAAGGAAATATCTTCACATACAAACTAGACAGAAGTTTTCTGAGAAACTTTCTTGTGATGCGTGCATTCATCTCAGAGGGTTGAATCTTTCTTTTGATTGGGCAGTTTGGAAATGGTCTTTTTGCAGATTCAGCAAAGGGATATTTTGGAGCCCTTTGAGTCCTGTGGTGAAATAGGAAACATCTTCACATAAAAACTAGGCAGAAGCTTTCTGATTTACTTCTTTGTGATGTGTGGATTCATCTCAAGAGATAAAGCTTTCTTTTCATTGAGCAGTTTGGAAACAGTCTTTTACTGGAATCTGCAAAGGAAAATTTCTGAGCAGTTTGAGGCCTATGGTGAAAAAGGAAATATCTTCACATAAAAACTAGATAGAATCTTTCTGAGAAACTCCTTTGTTATGTGTGCATTCAACTCATGGAGATGAACTTTTCTTTTGATTGGGCAGTTTGGAAACAGACTTTTTGTTG
The DNA here is from genome assembly GCF_000001405.40 of Homo sapiens. Taxonomy (NCBI): domain Eukaryota; kingdom Metazoa; phylum Chordata; class Mammalia; order Primates; family Hominidae; genus Homo; species Homo sapiens. The sequence goes on along the minus strand of NC_000010.11, from coordinate 39,342,865 downwards.
AATATGAAATGGAATATTTGGGATCCCTTTGAGGCCCATGGTGAAGCAGAGAATATCTTCACATAAAAATTAGATGGTTGCTTTCTGAGAAACTTCTTTGTGATGGGTCCATTCATCTCACAGAGATGAAACTTTATTTTGATTGAGCAGTCTGGAAAATGTCTTTTTGTGGAACCAGGAAAGCTATATTTCAGAGCCCTTTGTGGCCTATGGTGAAAAAGTAATATCTTCACAAAAACACTAGAGAGAAGCCTTCTGAGAATCTTCTTTGTGATCTGTGCATTCATCTCATGGATTTGAACGTTTCTTTTAATTGAGCAGTTTGGAAACAGTCTTTTTGTAGAATCTGCAAAGGGATATTTCTGAGCAGTTTGAGGTCTATGGTGAAATAGGAAATATCTTCACATAAAAGCTAGACAGAAGCTTTCTGAGAAACTTCTTTGTGATGTGTGCATTCAGCTCCCAGTGTTGAAACTTTCCTTCAATTGAGCAGTTTGGAAAATGTCTTTTTCTAGAATCTCCAAAGGGATATTTGGGATCCCTTTGAGGCTTGTGGCAAAAAAGGTAATATCTTCACATAAAAACTAGAAAGAAGCTTTCTGAGAAACTTCTTTGTGATGCATGCATTCATCCTATAGAGCTGCAAGGTTCTTTTGATTGGGCAGTTTGGAAACAGTCTTTTTGTAGCATCTAGACAGGGATATTTGGGAGCCTTTTGAGGCCAATGATGAAGAAGCAAATATCTTCACATAAAAACCAGACAGAAGCTTTGTGAGAAACGCCTTTGTGATGAGTGCATTCATCTCACAGAGTTAAACATCCCTTTTGATTGAGCCGTTTGGAAACAGTCTTTTTGTAGAATCTGCAAAGGTATATTTCTGAGCAGTTTCAGGCTTATGATGGAAAAGGAAATATCTTCATATGAAAACTAGACAGAAGTTTTCTGAGAAACTTCTTTGTGTTCCACACATTCATCTCACAAAGTTGAAACATTCTTTTGATTAAGCAGTTAGGAACCAGTCTTTCAGTAGAATCTGCAAAGGGATATTTGGGAACCCTTTGAAGGCTGTGGAGAAAAAGGAAATATCTTCACATAAAAACTAGACAGAAGCTTTCTGAGAAACTTCTTTGTGATGTGTGCATTCATCTCACAGAGTTAA